>NT_187677.1:0-189352 GCF_000001405.40 Homo sapiens
CACAGACAGTGTCTCCTTCTCTCCTAGGAGCCCACAGAAAACCCACTCTCTCAGCCCTGCCGAGCCCTGTGGTGACCTCAGGAGAGAACGTGACCATCCAGTGTAGCTCAAGGGTGGGATTTCACAGGTTCATTTTGATTGAGGAAGGAGAAAACAAGCTCTCCTGGATGCTGGACTCACAGGAACTCTCCAAGGGGCTGTCCCTTGTCCCTGGCCCTGTTCCCTGTGGGCCGTGTGGCTGCCAGTCACCGGTGGATGTTCAGATGCTATGGGCATTACACGAACTTCCCCTGGGTGTGGTCGGAACCCAGTGATACCATGGAGATCCTGGTCTTAGGTATGGATGTCTTCCTCCTTGCCCTATTTATTTTTGAGAACTTACTCTCACGGAGCCCCATGTAGGAGGGTGGAACAAGGGAAGTTTGGGACTCCTGAGCCCAGAGACACTGAGTATGAGAGACAGTGAGACCTGCAGGGCCAGGAGGGGAGAAGGAAGGGGTGTGGGAGGAACCAGCCCTCCTAGTCCCGACTCTTCTTTCCCTCCAGGCGTGTCTAGGAAGCCCTCCCTCCTGACCCTGCAGGGCCCTGTCGTGGCCCCTGGGGAGAATCTGACCCTCCAGTGTGGCTCTGATGTCGGCTATGACAAATTCACTCTGTACAAGGAGGGGGGACATGACCTCGTCCAGGGCTCTGGCCGGCAGCCCCAGGCTGGGCTCTCCCAGGCCAACTTCACCCTGGGCCCTGTGAGGGTCTCCCACGGGGGCCAGTACAGATGCTACGGTGCACACAACCTCTCCTCCGAGTGGTCGGCCCCCAGTGACCCCCTGAGCATCCTGATCGCAGGTGAGGAGCCCAGCAGGTTCAGTCAGGGACCCACGCTCCGCACAGGCCCTGCTGGGGGAGCCCAGGTGGTGATGGCCAGGATGAGGGGTGGGGGTCCCAAGGGAGGGAGAGACAGACAGAGACAGGGGATGGGCGGGTAGAGGGAGACTCAGAGAAAACAGAGACAGAGACTGAGGGTCCCAGAGAGAGGCCTGGGGAGGTGTCAGCTCAGAACGAGGTGGGGCAGCCCCTCACCCATCCTTCTTCTCTCCAGGACAGATCCGTGGCAGACCCTCCCTCTCGGTGCAGCCGGGCCCCACGGTGGCCTCAGGAGAGAACGTGACCCTGCTGTGTCAGTCACGGGAGCAGTTGGACACTTTCCTTCTGACCAAGGAGGGGGCAGCCCATCACCCACTGCGTCTGAGATCAGAGCACCAAGCTCAGCAGCACCAGGCTGAATTCCCCATGAGTCCTGTGACCTCAGCCCACGCGGGGACCTACAGGTGCTACAGCTCACGCAGATTCTTCCCCTACCTGCTGTCTCACCCCAGTGACCCCCTGGAGCTCGTGGTCTCAGGTGAGGCCGCTGACCCTGTCCTCTCTGAGCTCAAACCTCAGCTCAGGCCCTGCCCCCAGGAGAGCTCAGGACGCTAAGGAAAGAGGGGAGTAAAGGGGGAGGGTCGGCAGGGGAGGGCCCAGCCCATGAGAGGGTGGAAATAGTCAGGGACCTCCTAATCCTGGGCTCCCACCCCAGAGACCTCAGATGGGGCTAAAGGCCAGGGAGGGCTGAAATGAGATATGGAGAAACCTTGGAGGAATCATGCTTAGGCTGAGGGTAGAAGATGGAGGCCCCACCCACTCCCCACCTGGGCTCCCCTGGCGGCCCCAAAATACTCAGTGCATACCTGAGACGAAGGGGAGATCATGCACCTGCTCACTGCAGCAATGCAGGCAAATTATTCAACAGCAAACCTCGTGTGCAATTCCTTTCTGTCCTTTATTTTTTATGTCCACATATCTAGTTTCTCTTTCTGTTTCTGAAGATTTCAAAGCAATGCTGGCATTTATAATTTACACATTTAATTTGTTAGGTAGCGTTATGATGTAAAATAACTGTGCTCTGATTTTCTTTGGGATTAAATTAAATATGTGCATTCATGATGGAGAATAACTTCTCATTAATAATGTCTTTTTATCCAATACATTTAAAATTAAACTTTATACAGTTAGCAGATGCTTGAAGTTGTATTCATAAAAATTGTGGACATTGTGAATTTTAAGCATTGTTTTACTACTTGAATAATTTGAAAGTCTTTGATTCCTTTCTATTTTCTAAAATTAGTTACGTATGGATGAGAAAGCTATTGGTTTGGGTATGCTAATTTTAGTTCCTATTAACTTACCACAGACACACTCCCTTTCAATCCTTTCCGAAATGATCTCTTCTGATTTATTGATAATAATTACATTAACCACAAGAAAATGGAGGACAAACTTGTTTGTTTCTAAATTATATAATACTCTTCTCACTTCAAATATATATGTATGTGTTTATATATACTCACACACTATTATATATCTTATAATATATATTATGTATTATATATTTATATATACACTATTATATATCTTATATATTATGTATTATATATTTATATATACCCACACATTATTATATCTTATAATATATATTATGTATTATATATTTATATATACCCACACATTATTATATCTTATAATATATATTATGTATTATATATTTATATATGCACTATTATATATCTTATATATTATGTATTATATATTTATATTACCCACACATTATTATATCTTATAATATATATTATGTATTATATATTTATATATACACACACTATTATATATCTTATTATATATTATGTATTATATATTTATATATACTATTATATATCTTATAATATATAATGTATTATATATTTATATATACACACACTATTATATATCTTATATATTATGTATTATATATTTATATATACATACTATTATATATCTTATAATATATTATGTATTATATATTTATATATATACACTATTATATATCTTATTATATATTATATATTTATATATGCACACACTATTACATATCTTATTATATATTTATATGTATACACACACTATTATATATCTTATTATATATTATGTACTATATATTTATATATACTATTATATATCTTATAATATATAATGTATTATATATTTATATATACACACACTATTATATATCTTATATATTATGTATTATATATTTATATATACATACTATTATATATCTTATAATATATTATGTATTATATATTTATATATATACACTATTATATATCTTATTATATATTATATATTTATATATGCACACACTATTACATATCTTATTATATATTTATATGTATACACACACTATTATATATCTTATTATATATTATGTACTATATATTTATATATACTATTATATATCTTATAATATATAATGTATTATATATTTATATATACACACACTATTATATATCTTATATATTATGTATTATATATTTATATATACATACTATTATATATCTTATAATATATTATGTATTATATATTTATATATACACACTATTATATATCTTATTATATATTATATATTTATATATGCACACACTATTACATATCTTATTATATATTTATATGTATACACACACTATTATATATCTTATATATTATATATTTATATATACTCACACTATATCTTATAATACATATTATGCATACACATATGCATAATACATATTATCTATACACATATGCATAATACATATTATGTATACACATATGCATAACACATATTATGTATACACACATATTTACACCTATGCATATATGTATGTATGTATGCGAATGTACCTCTGCCACGGCAGGGAAAGGTTCTATCACACAACTACAGAGCAGTTAGGAGAAGTGTAGACACAAAGGAATGCAGCAACTGAGGGACATGTTGGCTTAAGTCTCTTCAACTCCTCACACACCTCCCCCTTTTTTGGTTGATTCTCAGGAGCAGCTGAGACCCTCAGCCCATCGCAAAACAAGACAGACTCCAAGACTGGTGTGTAAGGAGATGCTCTCGGTTATGGGGCTGGCACAGAGGGTCAGGTCCTGTGAAGGGGAGGTGGGTGCCCTGGGTGGACATCCAGGGGTCCCGGGTGATGTTGATCTGCCCTGACCTCTGAGACCTCTTGGTCCACCATCCCCAGCCTCACACCCCCAGGATTACACAGTGGAGAATCTCATCCGCGTGGCTGTGGCTGGCTTGGTCCTGGTGGTCCTCGGGATTCTGCTGCTTTAGGATTGGCACAGCTAGAGAAGTCCCCAAGATGCAGCAAGGAGGTAAATACATGAGAAAACAATGCACCCTTCAGAGTGCCAGAGCCTTGGCAATGAATCTGATAGTCCTAGGAGGTTCTGGAAGAAAGTCTGGACCATCATTCGGGAAACCGTCTACTGAGAAAGTCGAGAAGGGGAGGCTTGGGTCAGGTTCAGGAAGATGTCTGGGTGCCTGTAGAGAACGCTTCCTCCATTAAACTTCCATTAAATGGCAGTGCTTTCAGTCCTGCTGTTGTGGATCCTCCGTGTCTGCCCCTCCCTTCCTTTCGCTCTCTGTGATGTGAAGGCACGTCCCCCATGGTGGGTTTGCATCCACACCCCTGCGATCACGTGCTCTGGTCCACTGTCATGTAATACATTTGTCTTTGTTTCCAACTACCGCATTCTCTAAAGTGAACTATTGATTCTCCATCTTTTCAGTTCTGAGCATAGATCTGGATTAAATAACTGGAATAGGTGGGCAGATTTGTATTTGGGACTTTGAAACATGAGTCTGAGGCCAGGCACAGTGGCTCACACCTGTAATCCCAGCACTTTGGGAGGCTGAGGTGGGCGGATCACTTGAGGTCAGAAGTTCGAGACCAACCTGGCCAACATGGTGAAACCCTGTCTCTACTAAAAGATACAAAAATTAGCTGGGTGTGGCAGTGAGCACCTGTAATCCCAGCTGCTCAGGAAGCTGAGGCGGGAGAATAGCTTGAACCCGGGAGGCGGAGGTTGCAGTGAGCCAAGATCTTGCCACTGCACTCCAGCCTGGGCAACAGAGCAAGACTCCATCTCCAAAAAAAAAAAAAAAAGGGAAATATGAGTCTGAAATGATGCCCTAGCACCCTCTCTGGACCCTGAATTCCCTTCACTCTTCATCGGATGATACCTGTGTACTTCGTCCAGAAATATCATCTCTCAGAATGAGCACACTAACGCTCGAAGGCTCAGCCTCATGGTATTCTGTTAAACTGGCTCTCTGAAAAAATTATTTTCTTAAGAAAACTCTGAACATATAAAGCCCCAGATTTATGGTATTTGCTGATTAGTGTGGTATAAATACGTCCTTTATGGCCAACTTCAGGGTGCCCATATGACGCCATTGAATGCACAGTTGGGAAGTAGTCAAAAGAATTGTCGTTCACACGAGTATGAACCAGTTGTAAAGTTTATTTAAAGGTTATAATAATTTCTGCTTCATTCTTATGGTGTAGTTTCAGTAAAATTGTAATGTCAAAAATCATAGCACAATGGAGGGAAAAGAAAAAAATAGGCCGGGTGTGGTGGCTCATGCCTGTAATCCCAACACTTTGGGAGGCCGAGGCAGGAGGATCACCTGAGGTCAGGAGTTCGAGACCAGCCTGGCCAACATGGTGAAACCCTGTCTCTACTAAAAATACAAAAATTAGCCAGACATGGTGGCGCCTGCCTGTTAATCCCAGCTACTTGGGAGGCCAAGGCACGAGAATCGCATGAACCCAGGAGGCGGAGGTTGCAGTGAGCCGAGATCACTACAGCCTGGGTGATAGAGCAAGACTCAGTCTCAATAAAAGAAAAAAGTAGCAAAATCATTTTTTGGAAAGAATATTGAACATGTAGAATTTTAGTACATTAATAGTAAGAGTACAAATTGCTTTAATCAATTAAGGAAGTGTATTGGAATTATCTAGTTAAAAAGAGGAGGCACACGGCTGTGACCCTTCTTAATTATGTACTTAATTATGTACCCTAGAGATAAATGTCTACTTATGTGTCATGATACACTCACAACTGTTATAGGAATGCTGTTCCTATTAGCCAAAGCTATAAAATACCAAAGTCCACCTACGAAAAAAATAAACATAGTGTGGTAAATAGACTCAGTGGAATATTACAAGGTAGTAAAATGCATAAATGAAAATAACAAACAGCACCATACTTCAATTTTCAAGCATAAAGTCAAGTAAATGAAGTATTATTTGAAAATGTGTGCATGGTTATTTCATTACATAAAGGTCAAAAGGAGGGTACATTTATTATTTAGGAAAACACACCTAAGATATCTTTGTAAAATCTGTAAAATCAATAGTACTGTTTCCCCTCTTTCATTCCTTATCTTGAAAATGCTTGTCTCTTTTTCTGCCATGGCTTTCTACCTTGCTTGATATATTACAATTTTGTAACCTGCTTATTTCATCATATGTCATAAGTTCACATGTATATCCCATGAATTATTGAGGGTCTTATTCATTTCAAGTGGCATTTAGGTTTTTAAAAATATCTTTTGGCGACCAGGTGCAGTGGCTCATGCCTGTAATCCCAGCACTTTGGGAAGCCAAGGCAGGTGGATCACGAGTTCAAGAGACAGAGATCATCCTGGCAAACATGGTGAAACCCCGTCTCTACTAAAAATACAAAAAAAAAAAAATTAGCTGGGCATGGTAGAGGGTGCCTGTAGTCCCAGCTTCTCAGGAGGCTGAGGCGGGAGAATGGCGTGAACCCGAGAGACGGAGGTTGCAGTGAGCCGAGATCGTGCCACTGCACTCCAGCCTGGCAACAGAGTGAGACTCTGTCTCAAAAAAAAAAAAAAAAGAAAGAAAGAAAGGAAGAAAAAAAAATCTTCTGGCATTAACTATTAAGAAATTGCACTATAAAAAGAGAATATAATGCATAAGACGGCAATTTGAAAAGATTCAGATATAATTTTTTCTTATCTAGTAAATACTTAGTAATTTGTCTAATGCATGCCTTAAATACATACCACTTTATGCAGAGGTTGCCATGAGCCGAGATCGTGCCGTTGCACTCTAGCCTGGGTGGCAGAGCAAGACTCCATCTCAAAAAAAAAAAAGAAAATCTCACAGAAGGAGACCCAGAGCTTCCAGCCTCGCCCAGAGTCTTGGCTCACTCCCTGTGTGTGTGGACCCTAGGGAGCCTCTTCAGTTCCCCACAGAGGTGGAAACTTCCTCCTTAATAACCCCTTGATGGTCCCAGGCACTGGTGACCACTGAGCTTTGCTCTCTCTTTTTTCTTATGGTTCCCTGTCTACTTCCAGGGCTATCACTTTACTTTTTGTGCATTAGACCATGAATAATGTTTTAGAAACATTCTATCAAATTTCTCAGTGCTAGGAACAACTGAGGTTTTTGATTGGGTGCCTCAAATGTCTACCCTTACTGTGGAGTCCGACAACAGGATTCTAACAAGTCCCAACCCCTTCATGCCTTAACCTGGTCTGGAAATAAATTATGTTTAAGCCATCCCATACCCCAGCCACATCAAGCCCCACAACCACTCTGAGAAGTGAGATTTATAGCAAAATGCTCCAAACAAGGTAACTAAGGTTCAGACAAGGGATGTTAATGTGTCCATTTACATAAACAAAAAATGGTAGATGATCAGCTTTCCCTTTGAAATCAGAGTACTAATCTGACTCATTGTTCCCTGAATTTTAGAGGCAGGACCTCAGGAGGAGCTAAGAATCCTACCCCAGGAAAATTACCAATATCAGAAAGGAAACAATGACATCAGTACAGATCCTACAGAATTCAAAAGATTCTAAGTGGACATTATGAAGACATTATTCAGCTTAGATGAAGTGGTCACATATCACAAGAAAACAAACTGTCTAAAACAATCTCTGAAATACCTAGACATTCCCTGAATCATTGAGTTATTAAATAAAATACATTTTAAAATTAAACTCTTTTCAGGAAATAAACTTCAATGTCCCCTAGTGCACTCTCCAAAACGTGTAGATAGGAACAAATACTGTTCTGAAAGACATTTCCCTGGAATTACAACCATTCAATATATTTTAAAAGGCAATCATAAAAATATAAAAAGGATATATCAGGAGAAGAAATGTAAATGGCCTAAATTCCCCACATAAAAGGCATAGAGTGGCAACGTGGATAAAAAGCCAAGAGCCAACTGCCTGCTGTCTTCAAGAGACCCATCTCACATGTAATGACACCCACAGGCTCAAAGTAAAAGGATGAAGAAATATTTACTAGGCAACCAGGAAACAAAAAAAAGGAAGGCATTCCTATTCTTATATCACATGAAACACACTTTAAATCAACAGCAATCAGGAAGGACAAAGAAGGGCATTACAAAATGATAAAGGGTTCAATTTGACAGAAGACTTAACTATTCTAAATATATATGCACCCAAATTTGGAGCACCCCGATTCATAAAACAAGTTATTCTTCACCTATGAAAAGAGTTAGACAGCCACACAATAATAGTAAGGGACTTCAGTATCCCACTAACAACGTCAGATGAATCACTAAAACAGAAAACTAACAAAGAAATTCTGGTCTTAAAGACAACACTTGACCAATTGGACCTCATAGACATCTACAGAGTACTCCACCCAACAACTGCAGAATATAGATTCTTCTTATCTGCACACACAAAAAACATATCATATTCTAAGACTGGCCACAAAGCAAGTCTCAATAAATTCAAAGAATCAAAATCATAACAAGGCACACAATAAAAATAGAAAAAAATACCAAGATGATCTCTCAAAACTACAGAAAAACATGGAAATTTAACAACTTGTTTCTGAATGAATATTAAGAGCCATCTATGACAAATCCACAGCCAACATCATATTGAATGGTCAAAAGCTGGAACTGTACCCCTTGAGAACTCTTGGGTGAACAATGAAATTAAAGCAGAAATCACAAAACATTATTTAAAATTAATAAAAATAGAAACAAACTTACCAAAACCTTTGGGATGCAGTTAAAGCAGTGATAAGAGGAAAATTTATAGCAATACATGCCTCATCAGAAGTTTAGAAAGATCTCAAATTAGTGACTTAACACTGCATCTAGAGGAACTATTAAAAAAAAGGAACAGTCCAAACCCAAGGCCAGCAAAAGATGAGAAATAACTAAAGTCAGAGAGAACTGAATAAATTGAGACCAAAAAGTCCATACAAGAGATAAATAAAACCAAGAGTTTTTCTTTGAAAAAAAATAAACAAAATTCATAGACTGTTAGCTAGATTAACAAAGAAAAAGAGAAAAGATCCAAATAAACACAAATAGAACTGACAAAACAATGTTACGAACAATCCCACAGAAATAGAAAAGATCGTCAAAGACTATTATGAACACCTCTATACAAACAAGCTAGAAAACCTAGAAGAAATGGATAAATTCCTGGTAACACAAAATTTATCATATTTCAACCAGGAAGAAAGTGAAAACCTGAACAGACCAATAACAAGTTCAGAAATTTAATCAGTAATAAAAACCCTACTAACTAAAAATAGCCCAGGACCAGATGGATTCACAGCCAAAATCCAACAGCCATACAAAGAAGAACTGATACCGATCTTACTGAAACTTTTGGAAAAAATCAAGGAGTGGGGGCTTCTTCCTAACTCATTCTATGAAGCCATCATCACCATGATACCAACATCTGTCAGAGACATAATGAAAAAAAGAAAACTACAACTAAATATCCTTAATGAACATAGACATAAAATCCTCAACAAAATGCTAGCAAATTGAATCTGTCAGTGCATCAAAAGTTAATTCACATGATCAAGTAAGCTTTATTTTTGGGATGCAAGGTTGGTTCAACCTACAAAGTCAACGAATGTGATTCACCTCATAAACATAATTAAAAACAAAAACTATATGATCATCTCAATAGATGCAGAAAAAGCTTTCTGTAAAATCCAACATCCCTTCATGATAAAAACTGTCAATAGGCATCAAAGGAACATACCTCAAAATATTAAGAGCCATCTATGACAAACCCACAGCCAACATCATATTGATGGGCAAAAGCTGGAACCATACCCCTTGAGAACCGAAACAAGACCAGGATGACCACTCCCGCCATTTTAATTCAACATGGTACTGGAAGTCCTAGCCAAAGCAATCAGGCAAGAGAAGGAAATAAAAGGCATTAAAATTGGAAAAGAAGTAGTGATACTGTCTCTCTTTGCTGATGAAATAATTTTATACATAGAAAACCCTAAAGACTCTGTCAGAAGGCTCCTGAAACTGATAAACAAATTCAATAAAGTTTCGGGATTAAAAAAATGTACACAAATTAGTAACATTTCTATGCACCACTAACATTCTAGCTGAGAACTAAATCAAGAACACAATTCCATTTACACTAGCCACAAAGAAAATAAAATACCTAGGAATCCATCTAACCAAGAAGGTGAAAATTCTCTACAAGGAGAACTACAAAACACTTCTGAAAGAAATAAGAAATGATACAAACAAATGGAAGAATATTCCATGCTCATGAATTAGGAGAACAAATAGTTAAAATCGCCATACTTCCAAAAACAAATTGCAGACTCAATGCTATCCATTTCAAAATGCAATGTCATTTTTCACGAAATTATAAAAATTTATTCTAAAATGTATTTGGCACCAAAAAAAGAGCCTGAATACACATAGGAATCCTAAGCACAAAGAACAAAGCCCAGGCATCACATTACCCAACTTCAAACTATACTACAATGCTATAGTAACCCAAACAGCATGATACTACGACAAAAACAG
The DNA here is from genome assembly GCF_000001405.40 of Homo sapiens. Lineage (NCBI taxonomy): Eukaryota > Metazoa > Chordata > Mammalia > Primates > Hominidae > Homo > Homo sapiens. The sequence goes on from NT_187677.1 coordinate 10,729, forward strand.
ACACATAGACCAATGAGACAGAATAGAGAACCCAGAAATGAGGCTACATACCTACAATCATCTTTGAAAAAATTGACAAAAACAAGCAATGTGGAAAGTACCCTTTCTTCAATAAATAGTTCTGGGATAACTGACTACTCATATGCAAAATAATAGAACTGGACCCCTAACTCTCACTATATACAAAAATTAACCCAAGATAGTTTAAAGATTTAAATGTAAAACCTCAAAATATTAAAATTCTAGAAGAAAACCTAGGAAATATCCTTCTCAAGATAGACTTTGGCAAAGAATTTATGGCTAACTCCCCAAAACCAATTGTGACAAAGACAGAAATTGGGACCTAACTCAACTGAAGAGCTTCTGCACAGCAAACGAAAGTATCAACAGAGTAAACAGATAACCTACAGACTGGGAGAAAATATTTGCAAACTATGCATCTGACAAAGTTCTAATATCCAGAATCTATAAGGAATGTAAACAAATCAACAAGCAGAAAACCAAAAAACCTCAATTAAGTATGACATGAACAGACACTTCTCAAAAGAAGATGTACACATGGCCAAAAAACATATGAACAAATGCTTATTATCAGTAATCATCAGAGAAATGCAAATTAAAACCACAGTGAGATACCATCTCACAACAATCAGAGAAGCAGAAGCAATTACTAAAAAGTTTTTTGTTTTTTTTAATAACAGATGCTGACAAGATTGTGGAGAAAAGGGAACACTTATACACTCTTGGTGGGAATGTTAACTAGTTCAGCCAATGTGATAAGCAGTTTGGAGACTTCTCAAATAACTTAAAATAGAACTACTATTCAATCAAGCAATCCCACTACTGGGTATATACCAAAAGGAAGGTAATTAACTATGTCAAAAAGACACATGCACTAGTATATTCATTGCTGTGCAATTCAGAATAGCAAAGATTTGCAGTCAACCTAAGTGCTCACCAACAGTGGATTAGTTAAAGAAAATGTGCTACATATACACATGGAACATTACATGGCCATAAAAAATAATGAAATCATGTCCTTTGCAGCAACATGAATGTAGCAGGAGGTCAATCTCCTAAGTGAACTAATCCAGGAACAGAAAACCAAATACCACATGTTATCACTTATAACTGAGAACCAAACATTGAATACACATGAACATAAAGATGGAAACAACAGATACCGAGGACTACAGATGGGGGGAGGAGTAGGGAGGTATAGGCTGAAGAAACACCTGTTGGATTCTATGCTCATTGCCTGGGTGATGGCATTGTTGGAACCACAAACCTCAGAGTCACACAATATGCCTATGTAACAAACCTGCATGCATACCTTTAATCTACAGTAAAGGTTGAAGTTATTTAAAAATAGGAAGAAGAATTACCCTATACCTAAAGCTAAGATTTTTCCCTTTGAATATTCGTTTCTTCATCACTGTAGATAAGCAGGGAAAGAAAAATTATTATACTATACTAGCCTTTTATGTGACCATGAGGATTTGGGGTAGGTAGGTGGACAGCTTAGATAATTCACCAGGATATTGATACAGGCTCCATGGCTGGAAATAACCAAGGATGAGTGCTGTGTTTTGAGTGGTCTCCCCCAGAAACGTTTGTTGAAATCCTAACCCCTGGTATGTATGAATGTGAATTCATATTATATAAAAAGGAATAAATAGCCTGAGCACAGTGGCTCACACCTGTAATCCCAGCACTTTGGGAGGCCAAAGCAGGTGGATCATTTGAGGTCAGGAGTTCTGGCCAATATGGCAAAACTTCATCTCTACAAAAAAAAATACAAAAAAAAAAATTGGCTGGGTATGGTGGCGCATGCCTGTAGTCCCAGCTACTCAGGAGGCTGAGGCAGGAATTGCTGAAACCTGGAAGGCAGAGGTTGCAGTGAGCCAAGATCATGCCACTGCACTCCAGCCTGGGTGAGACGGCAAGATATTCTGTCAAAAATAAATAAATAAAAAACAGAAGAAGAAATACAAGAATGACAGCAAACTTTGTATTCAAAACTATGAAAGTAAGAAACAGGTGGACCAACATTTTTAAAGTGCTACAAGAAAATATTTCAAACTAGAATCTTTCAACCTGAAAAGGAAAACATTTTCCTGCAATAAAGGTGCCATTAAAAATGTCTCACAATTTATTACATGAAGCATTGTTCTACAATAAATGTTAAGCTCTTGAAGCAAAGATTAATGATACCATTTAGTAACTTGAAATTCAAAAAAGTGGAAGTATCCCAAGAGGCAAATACGTGTGCAATTATTAAATGTTTCATATCAACACCCAACCTTATGCTGTCTGCATAAGCTGCACTTCAAATACTAATCCACAAGATGTAAATATTGAAAGAATGACATTACCTTGTCATGATAATGCCCAGTGCAAAATATGCTTCTAGTCAGTTGTATACATAGAATAGGTAAATGTTTGTAATAAAAAGTATTCCTCAATAGAAGTTTCTTAACTCAAAGAATGAAATATTTCACCATGCACATACAAAGAAGAGATATATGGAGATATGAAGAGGAGTACTTCATAATGACAAAGAGGCAAATTCATAAATAAGACATAATCATCCTAAATGCCTACACACCTAAAGCTGGAACCTCAAAACACATTAAATTAAAGGCACAATTCAAAACATAATCAATCACATCCAAATTGCAGCTAGAGATAGCAACATTCACCTCACTTCCAGAACAAGTACACAGAAAATTATTAAGCATATGAAAGACTTGAAAAACATTTGTGTAGGCGGCGGGTGCATAAGGTTGGGTGTTGATATGAAACATTTAATAATTTCAATAATCCTAGCACTTTGGGAGGCCAAAATGGGAGGATCACTTGAGGCCAGGAGTTTGAGACCAGCCTGGGCACCATAGTGAGACCCCGTCTCTATTTTTTTTAAATAAAGAAAAACATTTGAATGATTTTTTTCTTAACTGACATTTAGAAAGCATCCACCTCAAATCTTCCTAATCCACAAACTTGTCTAGCACCCCTGGAACATTCACCAAAATAAATTTTTAAATGCTGAATCATAGGTAATATGATAGATGAAACAGTTGAATTAAATTATAAATGTACAACAAGGAAATGCTGGGGAAATTATCAAATATTTTAAAATTAATAAACACACATAGCAATAAACAATGAGTGGAAGAAAAACATTTCAAAGAAAGGTGGAAAATATTTTGTATCAATTAAAAATGAAAACACATCTCGGCAAATGACTGGGGATACAGATAGAACAGCGTTAAGGGACAATAAGCCTCAAATGTCTGTGTTAGAAAAGAAGGAAGAGCTGAGTAAATAGGTAACTTTCACTTGCAGAAATACTACACATCAGCAAATTAATTCCAAAGTAACGTCGAGGAAAAACATAAAATGGCAAGCAAATATATACGTGCATATGTACATACATTCATAAATGACAAACAGGACAGAAAAATCAGTGACATCAATTTTGTTCCTTAGAAGAAACAGGAAAATTGACCCCAAAAAACTTTCCAGGCCACATTTGGTCATGATGGAAATATTTTGGCACTTCCTGGTTAAGCTCAACACCAACTTGCACCCAAAACCAATAATTTCATTTCTAGGTAAATATGTCTAATTAATTCAGCATATGTATGCAAGGGATCACACAGAAACACGATTATCAAGGCCCGAGTTATAAAAGAGAAAATCCGGAAACAACACAAATGTCCATGATAAAAAGAATGGATAATTACATGTTGATAAAGTTATGCATGGACTATTAAACTGCAATCCAAAAGAATAAAATAGAGCTATAAAATTCAATATGTATATGGTGTCATAGAAACACAAATGTGAGAAAAAGAAAGAAAAATACAAAATTTATATTTTTTAAAATTTGAAACAACTATATATGTGAGTGCTTAGGGTGTGTGTGTGTGTGTGTGTGTGTGTGTGTGTATAACCATATGTATATAAATGCACACATACGCACACATATAGAATGTCCCGGCCAGGCATGGTGGCTCACACCTGTAATCTCAGCACTTTGGGAGGCTGAAGTAGACAGATCACTTGAGGTTAGGAGTTCAAGACCAGCCTGGCCAACATGGAGAAACCTCCTCTCTACTAAAAGTACAAAAATTAGGTGGGCGTGGTGGTGGGTGCCTGTAAATCCAGCTACTTAGGAGGCTGAGGCACGAGAATTGCGTGAACCTGGGAGGTGGAGGCTGCAATGAGCCGAGGTCTCACCACTGCATTCCAAACTGGGTGACGAAGTGAGATTGCGTCTCAAAAAAAAAAAAAGTTCTAAAAGTTGTGACTTGGGTGTGGCAGATTGTGACATACTGCCAGCTGCTAGAAATGCTGGGGCAGGAGGATTGCTTGAACTCTGAAGTCAAAGAACAGCCTGGGGAAAATAGCACATGAAGAAGAGTTTGAATCTCAGATAAAAACAACAAAAATACATCAAAAGTCTTTAATGTAAGCCAAGCATTCAGTCATCTCCTGTATGAGAGATTGGATCTGAGACGTGTTTTGAGTTGGTTATAGTGAAGGATGCAAGGTGTCAATTCTAGTTGGAACAATTTCCAGGAAGCCATGTTCTGCTCTTGACCAAACAGCCACTGGGCCTCATGCAAGGTAGAAATAGCCTGCATACGTCATCCTCCCATGATGTGGTCAGCATGTAAACTGCATGAGCCCCTCACAACATCCTGTGTGCTGCTGAACTGAGCTGGGGCGCAGCCGCCTGTCTGCACCGGCAGCACCATGTCGCTCATGGTCGTCAGCATGGCGTGTGTTGGTGAGTCCTGGAAGGGAATCGAGGGAGGGAGCGGTGGGGTGGAGATCTGGGCCTGGAGTGGAGATATGGGCCTGGAGTGGAGATATGGGCCTGGAGTGGAGATATAGGCCTGGAGTGGAGATATGGGCCTGGGGTGGAGATATGGGCCTGGAGTGGAGATATGGGCCTGGAACTGTAGATATGGGCCTGAAGTAGAGATATGGGCCTGGAGTAGAGATATGGGCCTGGAACTGTAGATATGGGCCTGGAGTGGAGATATTGGCTTGGAGTGCAGATATGGACCTGGAATTGAGATACGGGCCTGGAGGTGGAGATATGGGCCTAGAGTGGAGATATGGGCCTGGAGGTGGAGATATGGGCCTGGAACTGTAGATATGGGCCTGGAGTAGAGATATGGGCCTGGAGTGGAGATGTTGGCTTGGAGTGCAGATATGGGCCTGGAATGGAGACACGGGCCTGGAGGTGGAGATACAGGCCTGGAGGTGGAGATATGGGCCTGGAGTGTAGATATGGGCCTGGAGTAGAGATATAGGACAGAGGTGGAGATATAGGCCTGGAGTGGAGATATGGGCCTGGAGTAGAGATATAGGACGGAGGTGGAGATATGGGCCTGGAGTGGAGATATGGGCCTGGAGGTGATGTACAGATGGATCATCCATCATGATCTTTCTTTCCAGGGTTCTTCTTGCTGGAGGGGCCCTGGCCACATGTAGGTGAGTCCTTCCCCCAAACCTTAGGTTGTCATCTCCCCACATAAGATGATGTTCCTGAAACGGGAGGCAGGCGACACAGGGGGTTGACTGATGGGCTGACCATGGGAAGCCATGTGGGAATCTCTCATGAACTAGGAAAAGGAAGCCAGGGGAAGCTTCGCCACAGTTCTGTCCTAGCCCTCCCCGGCCTTTCTTTCCCTTGGCTGAGTCTGTGGGGACCCAGGGGGAGACTGAAGTGCTCAAAGGAGTGGTGTGCAGGGAGGAAGTGGTGTCACCGGCAGAGGAAGGGAGAGAAGCAGTGCAAGGAACAACAGGCCTCTGAGGACAAGAGCATAACTCACACCCTCCAGCGTTTCCATGACGGTAGGGGCTGCAATGTGGCTGCTGTCATTCTACCTAAGAGGTGGGGGAACCACAGTCATGACCCTGACATTCCAGATCTTCTAATAGGGGCTCAGTTGTTTATTATGGTTCATGCATTAGCTGATCATGCCCTCCATCCTGTGTCTACCTTGTGTTCTTTTATGTAAGTAATTTTGCAGTGTTAAAATCTAGTAAGAGTCGCTTCTTCAGCACCTGCTCAAAGTTCTCAGCTGACACTTGCTGTAGGGAGACGCCATGTCTATGCGGGATGGGTCCTTCCTGTAGCCCTGGGCACCCAGGTGTGGTAGGAGCCTTAGAAACGTGGAAATGGGAGAATCTTCTGAGCACAGGGAGGGAGGGGCGGCTCCACATCCTCCTCTCTAAGGTAGTGCCTCCTTCTCCCCCAGGTGGTCAGGACAAGCCCTTCCTCTCTGCCTGGCCCGGCACTGTGGTGTCTGAAGGACAACATGTGACTCTTCAGTGTCGCTCTCGTCTTGGGTTTAACGAATTCAGTCTGTCCAAAGAAGACGGGATGCCTGTCCCTGAGCTCTACAACAGAATATTCCGGAACAGCTTTCTCATGGGCCCTGTGACCCCAGCACATGCAGGGACCTACAGATGTTGCAGTTCACACCCACACTCCCCCACTGGGTGGTCGGCACCCAGCAACCCTGTGGTGATCATGGTCACAGGTCAGAGGCTTTCTGTCTGGGCTTCTCACTGTCCCACCTCCTGAATCCCAGAGCTTCTGGTGGGGGCGTCCATCAGGGTCCAATCATCCAGGCCCAGACTGTATTTGGGGTAAAGGGGGATTCAGTACAGAGAAATAGTTGCTGTGGTGGGAAGAATAATTGTCCCCAGTGATGGCTACATGGTAATCCATGAACCCTGTGACTATTTATGTCATAGGGCAGGGGACTGAAGGGGAAGATGGAGCTCAGGTTGTTGATGAGTTGACCTTGCGATGGGGAGACAGCCTGGACTGTCCTGCTGTGCTCAGAGTAATCACAAGGGTCCTCATGAGAGGAGGAGGAAGAGGAAAGTGGGGTTAGAGCAACGTCGTGGGAGGGAGACTCCATCAGCCACAGCGGGCTTTGAAGATGGGGGAAGGCCATGAGCCACAAAGGCAGTTGGCCTCTAAGGGCTGGAGAAGTCAAGGGAACTGATTCTTCCCTGAGTCTCCAGAGGAAACACAGCCCTGTAGATGCCTTGATTTTAGCCCAGAGAGAACTGGGTCCGATTTCTGTTCTCCAGAAGTGGAAGGGGTCATTGTATTCTCTCCTGCCCCATGTTTGTGACAATTTTCTCCAGCAGCAACAGGAAACCAACACAGGAACCCAGGTGAAGCACAAGTTAAGAAACCAAACAAGGAGAAGGTTGGCTACACTGATTTTAGCATGGGTGGGATACTGATGCTACCACCAGGCTCGATCCACATAGGGAGGGGTTGATGCTCCTGGAACCAGCACCAGGGGCCACCCTATGGAAGCTGGGGCCATGGAGAAGGCACAGACATGACAGGAGAGGCTCCCAATCCCCATCAGGAACAGGGACACTGATGCCTGCCTTACTGATGAGTTCGTACCTCCTGCCAGCCTTTCCAATCTGTCCAAAAGAGATTGATTCAGGCTGCTAAGAGCCTGGACATGCAGCCTGTCGTGGTTCCTCTTCCACCCCTACATAAACACCAGGAAAGAGATTAGTGGGAAACAGATACAACAGCCTAAGAGGTGACACTGAGCACAGTGGGAAGGGAATCAGGGCTACTAGAGACAGAGAGACAGGGAAGAGGGAGGGAGACAGATGGAGGGACCTGCAACAGGGGTTATGGGCACAAAAGAACACGGAGACACAGAGAGGAAGGAGAGAGATAGACACCATGGAGGGGAAGCCTCACTTATTTCAGGTCCCATGAATGGGATGAGAAAGGGAGACGCCTTCTGAACTCACAACCTCTCTTCTTAGGAGTCCACAGAAAACCTTCCCTCCTGGCCCACCCAGGTCCCCTGGTGAAATCGGGAGAGACGGTCATCCTGCAATGTTGGTCAGATGTCAGTTTTGAGCGCTTCCTTCTGCACAGAGAGGGGATCACTGAGGACCCCTTGCGCCTCGTTGGACAGCTCCACGATGCGGGTTCCCAGGTCAACTATTCCATGGGTCCCATGACACCTGCCCTTGCAGGGACCTACAGATGCTTTGGTTCTGTCACTCACTTACCCTATGAGTTGTCGGCTCCCAGTGACCCTCTGGACATCGTGGTCGTAGGTGAGAGAATACAGACCTGCCTCTCACCCTTGCTGGGAGATGGAGTGAATGATCTAGGACTGGAAGCCCCAGGTGGTCATGAGGAAGATGAGTGTGGGGTTCCTATGGAGAGAAAGTGACTTGGTGAGGTCTGTACCAACAAAGGCAGAGAAACAGGAGACACAAGTACAGACCTCATGTCATAACATAGAAGCCAGACACAGGGGCCATACAAGGTGTTAGAAAAAGAGATAAAGAGGTAAAGAAGACACAGAGAGACAGATATATCCCAGAGAGAGGTGTCCTTCTATGCTGACTTTGTTCAGAGACCAGGCACAGGTTAGAAGGTTCCATTCTGTTTTACCTCTACAAAGTGTTCTCTCCCAGGAGAACCCAAAGAGACACATCTATCTGGCCTGAGTTGGGCCGTGTGGCCCCAGGCTGGTGGCACCTACAGATGCTGTGTTTATTCTTAAACCTCTGCCTTCCGTGCAGTGGAGCTGTCATCGTCCCAGGACACCATGGCCCCAGGTGAGGGAGCAGAACACCAACCCCTGTATGTTGTGAGTTCCTGGAGTCCCCATACTGGATTCTGAGGCTCATATTCAAATAGCACCACATGTTATAGGATTACTGAGAACAAAAGCCCACAGAGAGACACGGAGTGAAATCAGGGAAATCAAAAAGCAAAGACATGAACACACACACAGAATGAGCCAGAAGAAGGGAATTGAGAGACTCACAGACACATAAAGAGACAGAAAAAGAGGGCAGAGAAGTGGAGCGTATGATGGAAGGAAGCAGAGAAAAGCCCTAAAATCAGAGCCCTGAGGGAGGGGCACAAAGACAGGGAAAGATAAAGATGTGGGGATGGATTGCAGAGACTCCAAAAGGGAACTAGAGAGACTGAGAGGCAGAGAAAGACAAGGAGATGGAGAGAGACAGATGATAGATGGATAGATAGATATAGATAGATGAAAGATAAAAGGTATATGATAGATAATAGAGAGACAGGTGATAGACAAATAGATGATGAATGACTGATAGATGATATAGATAGACAAGTAGAAAGACAGACAGATGATATATAAATAGATATAGAGAGATAGAAAGACAGATAAACACATGATGATAGATGGATAGATGCATACATACATACATTGATTGATAGATGATAGATAACAGAGAGATAGGTCATAGATACACAGATGATGATAGATGATAGATACATACATAGATAAATGATAGATCGATCAATAGATAGTAGATAGAAATATGCAGAAAGTTATGAGCAAGACAGAAAGTGAGAGACTCAGAATTAAAGAAAGAGGAAGATCAAGTCAACCAGTCCAAGGAGGGTCAGAGAGAATAAAATGGTACAAAAAAAGAAAACATAGCTAGGGATGGAGAAGTGAGGTCAGAGACCTAGAGAGACAGAGAAGGTGGAAGGAGGAAATAGACATGAAGAGAGATGGGGGTGGAGGGTGAGAGAGAGAAAGAGAGCATTAAGTCATAGAGCAGGGGAGTGAGTTCTCAGCTCAGGTGTGAGGAGAGCTGTGACAAGGAAGAACCTCCCTGAGGAAACCACCTCTTCTTCTTCCAGGTCTATATGGGAAACCTTCTCTCTCAGCCCAGCCGGGCCCCACGGTTCAGGCAGGAGAGAATGTGACCTTGTCCTGCAGCTCCCGGAGCTTGTTTGACATTTACCATCTATCCAGGGAGGCAGAGGCCGGTGAACTTAGGCTCACTGCGGTGCTGAGGGTCAATGGAACATTCCAGGCCAACTTCCCTCTGGGCCCTGTGACCCACGGAGGGACCTACAGATGCTTCGGCTCTTTCCGTGCCCTGCCCCACGCGTGGTCAGACCCGAGTGACCCACTGCCCGTTTCTGTCACAGGTGAGAAAACACCATGCCTGTCCCATGTCTTGTGATCCTAGAGCCATAGCTGAGGAGCTTCCTGCTGATGATGGAGAGAAGCATGGACAGATGCCGAGACAGAACACACAGCATGGGTGTAAGGGCGGGGTCAGGGCGCAGGATGGCAGACAGGGCACCTCCAAACCCTCCTGTATGGCCTGCAAGGAGGCCCTTGATCAGGGTTCCAGGCACCCAGGCAGATGGAGAAAGAGGTCAGAACAGACCCAGAGGAGGGAGACTGGGCTCTGCCTGGGGAGATCAGAGGTTCTCTCAGCCCCTCAACCTTACCCACTTCCCAGAAGCCCATCCTGGCCTGTCACCCACAGAGAGATGTCATCACCAGCAACGCCTACACCCTTTTCTTTTTGTTTGAAGAAATATTTATTGAGGTGAAATATACCTATGTAATTTACCACCTTTACCATTTTTAAGTGTGAAGTCTACTGTTCATAAATACATTTATAGGCTGGGCACGGTGGCTCACGGTTGTAATCCCAACACTTTGAGAGGCCAAGGCAGGTGGATCATTTGAGATCAGGGGCTCAAGACCACCCTGGCCAACATGGGGAAAATCCATCTGTACTAAAAATACAAAATAATAATAATAATGATAATAATTAGCCGAGCATGGTGGCACATGCCTGTAGTCCCAGCTACTTGGGAGGGTTGGGCAGGAGTTGCACTTAATTGCAGGAGGCGGAGGTTGCAGTGAGCTGAGATCATGCCACTGCACTGCAGCCTGGGCAACAGAGAGAGACACTCTCTCAAAATTAATTAATTAATTAATTAGTATTCTTTTTTTTTTACCCTCCACCCTTCCCTTCCTGGCCTCTGGTAGCCACCATTCTACTCTCTACCTTTGTGAGATCCACCTTTTAGCTCCTGCATATGAGTGAGAAATGGAAATACTTGTAATGACCTCCAGTTCCATTCATGTGGCTGTAAATGACAGGATGTTACTCTTTCTATGGATGAGTTGTCCCTATTGTGTGTGTGTACCACATTCTCTCCATCCATTCACCCACTGATGGGCGGGTAGGTTGATCCACATCTTGGCTACTGTGAACACTGCTGGAACAGTCATGGGAGTGCAGATGTCACTTCGATACGCTGATGTCCTTTCCTTTGGGTTTATACCCAGTCATGGAATTGCTAGATCCTCTGGAAGTGTCTTTTTACATTTTGTTTTATGGTTTTTGTTTTTGTTTTTGTTTTTTTTAGACAGTTTCACTCTTGTTGCCCAGGCTGGAGTGCAGTGGTGCCATCTGGGCTCACTGCAACCTCCACCTCCAGGATTCAAGAGATTCCCCAGCCTCAGCCTCCCAAGTAGCTGGGTTACTGGCTCCCACCACCACACTCGGCTAATTTTTATATTTTTAGTAGAGACAGAGTTTCGCTATATTGGCCAGGCTGCTCTTCAACTCCTGACCTCAAGTGACCTACCCACCTCGGCCTCCCAATGTGCTGGGATTACAGGCATGAACCACTGTGCCCGACCTCATTTTATTTTTTGAGGAACTTCCATACTCTTCTCCTCTGTAATGGCTGTACTAATTTACATTCGTATCAGCAGTGTACCAGATGAAACCCTGGTTGACTCAGCAGAGCAAGAGACGTGCAGTAAGAGAGAATTTAGCTTATTTATGCACACGACACTTCCACTCACTCACTCGTTCAGCCAATGCCCCATGCTCTGGCTGTGCAGTGTGGAATCTTTTCCTATTGTTGCCATAACAAATTTCCACAAGCTTCGTGGATGAAAACATGTTTTTCTTAATTATCTCACAGTGCTGTAACTCAGAAGTATGAACTGCATTTCACTGGGCTGATATCAAAGGGAGAGTAAGGCTGGATTTCTTTTTAAGGTTCCAAGCAAGAATCTGCTCCTTAACGTTTCCCAGCTCCTAGAGGCTCCCACGTTCCTGGGCCCCTGGTCCCCTTCCTCCTTCCTCCTTCCTCAAAGCCCACAAAGGCTGGTCACGTCTCACATGGCATCATTCAGACTCTTCTTCTTTACCCATACCTTTTTCTCTGAATCCTGCTCTGCCTTCTTCCTCATCTTTTAAGGACTTTGGGATTCTATTGGGGTCACCAAGATAATCCATCTCAATCTCCCTAAAATCATCCAGCGTACCCTCTTTTTAAGTTCAGCTGATTAGCAACCGTAATGCCATCTGCAATCTTCATTCCTCCTTTCCTGTAAAATAACATATTCACAAGCTATGGAGGCTAAGACAGGGACATTTTGGGGGTGGGGCAGCATTCTCCTGCCTTCCACAAATGGTAAACAGGATGCATTTGGCCTCTGCTCTTGGGACGCTGATATTGCAGATGGGTAAATGCGAGGGCAGAGAATGAATGCACAAGGGTACCAATAAATGAATGATCCATTGGGAAGCATCTGTGCACCAAATCTGGGGTTTTTTGTGTGTGTGTGTTTTTTTTGTTTTCTTTTTTTTTTTTTGAGTAGAGTCTCTCTCTGTTCCACAGGCTGGAGTGCAGTAGCACAATCTCAGCTCATTGCAACCTCTGCCTCCTGGGTTCATGCAATTCTCCTGCCTCAGCCTACTGAGTAGCTGGGATTACAGCTGTGCGCCACCACACTCGGCTAATTTTTTTGGTATATTTTTTAGTAGAAATGAGGTTTCACCATGTTGTGCAGGCTGTCTCAAACTCCCAATCTCAAGTGATCCCACCGCCTTAGCGTCCCTAAGTGCAAAGATTACAGGCGAGAGCTACTGCGCCCAGCCAGGATTTAAAATAAGTAATAGATAATGCTGAGTATATAATTTCAGGTGACAGAGAAGGTCTCACTGATCAGATAATATTTGTGACCTTAATGGAAAAAATGGATTCAACCCTTGGAAGATTGGCGGAAGGATTTTCCACACTGAGCTCTCAGCCGTGAAGGCACAAAGGTGGAAACATTCTTAGTTCAAGGAAGAGGCTCTGCCTCAAATGCTGGGAATGAGATGGGGAGAATGACAAGACAACTGTAGAGAGATGGAGAGCACACTGGGTACACAGGAAACTAAGGAGGAACAAGGAGCATGTTTTTGATACTCACAGCCCTTGGATTCAACTCAGAGCTAACTAGGAATCCCTACCTGATTAACAGTGACCGACATGAAAATAAGGGAGGCCCAGGTGCGTAACTGGAATCTAGGAGACCGTGGAAAAGGCAATTCCCGCCCCACTGGTGAAACGTAGGGTTGATTTACACACTAAATGAATGAAAGATGGATATAAGCTATGCTTGTGAGGTAGAATCATTTGCAGGGAGGGCTTGCTGGGTTTGATTTTTCCTAGTAGTTTAATCCTTGTTTCATTAATTTCTTTCTGAGATGTGTTTTTTTTCTACATCTAAATCAATACCTGGCAGAGGAGCGATAGACACATGAGGGGTGGTGCAAATGAAGGGACCTAGTATAATATAATATACAAGACTGTGGATGGGGGCTCACACCTGTAACCCAACACTTTGGGAGGCCAAGGCGGGTAGATCACTTAAGGGTAGGAGTTTGAGACCAGCCTGGCCAACATGGTGAAACCCCGTCTGTACTAAAAATACAAAAATTAGCCTGGTGCATTGGCACCTGCCTGTAATCCCAGCGACTGGGGAGGCTGAAGCAGAAGAATGGCTTCAACCCTGGAGGCAGAGGTTGAACTGAGATCGCATCACTGCACTCCAGCCTGACACAGGGGGACTCTGTCTCAAAAAATAAAAATAAAACATACATAATTATAATATGACACACAGAAATTACAAAGGCAACTGGATACCAACCATCATTTTTCTATTTCTCTGTATTTAATTCTTTGACCCTTTATCTTATCCATTAAACAATCAGGTTAAACCTCTTCCTTATTTGGCTTTCTGTGAGCTTGGGATCATATGGAAAATGTGAAAGCCTCCTGAACCCACCAGCACAGGTCCTGGAATAGAGAACATGCTCTGTTCATGGCATAAAACTTGCCCCTTCACCCAAATCCCCCAATTCATCTCTACTTCCAATCACCTATGGAGATACAGATAGATCATGGGGAGGTAAACACTAATACTCTTTGGAGTGAGCTCAGATCTTGGACTCAGAGACCAGTGCCAGCACTAGCCCCTGGTCACATTTCGTACTAACTCACAGAAGGACAGGCTGTATTGAAACAATAAACGACGGAGAGGGCGGTCCTTCCCCGTGCTTCTCGGGTGGAATAGCAGCCTAATATATGTCTCAGCAGATCACAAAAAGTAGCATGTTGTTCCTGGGCTACATCATTATTTCATGGCTGTTTGATTTAAGTCAGTTCTACTTCACTTTTTTTATCTTGATTTCATTTTTTCTTTCTTTTCTTGGAGAATGTAATTTTTTTGAGTCAAGAGGGTTGTGGTGGTAGAAACTGTAAAGCACATTCGCTGTGTATCAATCCCAATCCAGTCTTCCCAGAGAAGACTCTAAACACCTCCTGGAATGTACCTGGGCCTATACCAATTCCTATCACTCACCGTCACTCCAGGGAGACAGAACACACAGAGAACACATTACACAGGCAGGTTCATTACTAACAGATAAGCAGCGAGTGACAACAGAAGCCTACATTTCAATGTGAGCCAGTCCCTCAAGGCTCAGAAAAGCTGCTCGAGACATGTGGAGTCACCCCATATGCAGTGTATCTGGGGGAAATCAAAAAGCAGCCCAGCCTGGGTTTTGTACCCTGGAGCCACAGGAAGCACTCAGCTAAAGCACTGCATGACGTCCTCCTCCAGGAAGAACAGGAAGACAGCCCAGGCTGTTCTGGGATGTTCCTCCTGATCTCAGGACTTTGCTGTCTTAGTCCATTTTTGTTGCTCTAAAGGAACACTTGAGCCTGGGTAACTTCTAAAGAAAAGAAATGTGTTTGCCTCACAGTTCTGCAGGCTGTACTGGAAGCATGGCACCAGCATCTATTTCTTGTGACGGCCTCAGGCTGCTCCCGCTCTGGCAGAAGGGAAGGAGGGTCTATCTGTGCAGAGACCACAGAGATCACACGGCAAGAGAGGGAGCAAGGGGGAGGGGGAGCGATGGAGCTTCCAAGTTCTTTTTAACAACCAGCTCTCCAGGAACTAATAGAGGGGGAACTTGCTAACCCCATCTCCTTGGGACAGCATTGATCTGTTCATGATGGATCCACCTCCATGACCCAAACACCTCCCAAGAGGCCCAACCTCCCACCCTGGGGGTTACATTTCAATGTGAGGTTTGAAGTGGTCAAACATCTAAACTAAAGCAGTTGTATCCTCAGCACGTTCTATGGTTACTACAACTGAGAAAGCAGGAGGAAGCTAGGTCTCCCGCCATCTGGGTGCTTGTCCTAAAGAGACGTTGTATGTGGTTACCTGTCAATCAAGAAATGTGAGACAATTCATATAGAGGAACTGCTATGATTAGCTTCTTATTGGTGTCTTGTCTTCCTCCAGGTAACTCCAGATACCTGCACGCTCTGATTGGGACCTCAGTGGTCATCATCCCCTTTGCTATCCTCCTCTTCTTTCTCCTTCATCGCTGGTGTGCCAACAAAAAGAGTAAGTCTCACGAAGCAGAAGCCAGAGAGCTCAGGGCCATGTGGGGAAGCAGGATGGGAGCACTCAGGTGTGTGTTCCTTACAGGCAGGATGGTCCCTGACCCAAGGCAGGAGCCACAGAGGCAGGACTTTCTAGAGAGAGCACCAGACTCCCTGCCCCTGCCTTCAGCTCACAGACCATTGCCTGATTCTGAACCATATCCTCACATCCCCTGCAGCCACTCACATCCAGGAGAAGGTTCCATGACAGGCAGAAAGTGGGAGACAGAATCAATGGGATGGGAACTCAGAGCTATTCATGGGATGGGTCCTTGAGCTCAGAGAGATAGAATGTCTGAGTCTGCTGTTGGCAACTGAGGGACCTCAGGCACCTATGGCCTCCCCCTGCATGTTGGTATCTGCTTATGAAATGAGGACCCAGAAGTGCCCTCCGAGCTGTTTTGACGACTTCCGTCTTCTACAGATGCTGTTGTAATGGACCAAGAGCCTGCAGGGAACAGAACAGTGAACAGGGAGGTAGGTGCTCCTCAGCCCAGCCTCATGGCTAGTCTTATTCCCAAAGAGTCCTGAAAAATGTGAGCACCCTCCCTCACTCAGCATTTCCCTCCCTCCAGGACTCTGATGAACAAGACCCTCAGGAGGTGACATACGCACAGTTGAATCACTGCGTTTTCACACAGAGAAAAATCACTCGCCCTTCTCAGAGGCCCAAGACACCCCCAACAGATACCAGCGTGTAACACGGAACTTCCAAATGCTGAGCGCAGATCCAAAGTTGTCTTCTGTCCACCAGCACCACAGTCAGGCCTTGATGGGATCTTCTAGGGAGACAATAGCCCTGTCTCAAAACCGGGTTGCCAGCTCCCATGTACCAGCAGCTGGAATCTGAAGGCGTGAGTCTGCATCTTAGGGCATCGCTCTTCCTCACACCACGAATCTGAACATGCCTCTCTCTTGCTTACAAATGTCTAAGGTCCCCACTGCCTGCTGGAGAGAAAACACACTCCTTTGCTTAGCCCACAATTCTCCATTTCACTTGACCCCTGCCCACCTCTCCAACCTAACTGGCTTACTTCCTAGTCTACTTGAGGCTGCGATCACACTGAGGAACTCACAATTCCAAACATATAAGAGGCTCCCTCTTAACACGGCACTTAGATACATGCTATTCCACCTTTCCTCATGTTGTTCCACCTTTCCTCAGAGTATCTTTCAGCCTTCTGTCAGCAGTAAAACTTATAAATTTTTTTTATAATTTCAATGTAGTTTTCTATTCTTCAAGTAAACATGTCTGCCCTCATGGTTTCGTCAATGGGACTCTTTTCTTGCCTAAGGCTTCCGGTGTTATCATTACCACGTCCACATAACCCCATCTGTTCTCCGCTGGGTTCTCACCCCTGGACTCTGAGCTTCTGGAAGCAGGGTGGAGCCTGAATTGTCTCTGAGACTCCAGTTTCCATCCAAAGATGCAGCACATAGGAGGTTCCAAGGATGGTGAATCAGATGAACAAGTGATATTCTTACTCTCTGCAGATCTGGAAAGCTGGCAGAGTCATTCCACGATGAAACATTTGTAGAGTCATAGGCCTTGTTAGTCTCATCTCCACAGGGACACGTATCAACACATCATCTTTCATACTACTATAAATAGACAGTCACTCCTCCATATCTCTGGGGTTTACACATGTTTATTGAATCAGCAATAAATCAAAAATATTTTGAGAAAAAAAATCCCCGAAGTTTCAAAAAGCAAAAAACTATGTTGAATCGACACAAATTGAGTGGCGTGTAGGCTGTGTCAGGAATTATAAGTAATCAAGAGATGATTTCATGTATACAGGAGGATGTGCATGGGTTCTATGCAATTGCTATGCTATTTTTTTTTTTGAGACAGTCTCACTCTCTCACCCAGGCTGGAGTGCAGTGGCGTGATCTCAACTCACTGCAACCTCCGCCTTCCAGGTTCAAGCGATTCTCTTCCCTCAGCCTCCTCAGTAGCCTCCCCTAGGATTACAGGCACGTGCCACCCTGCACAGATAAATTTTTTTGTGTGTGTATTTTTAGTAGAGACGGGGTTTCAGAATGTTGGACCAGCTGGTCTTGAACTCCTGACCTTGTGATCTACCCAGCTCAGCCTCCCAAAGTGCTGGGATTACGGGCGTGAGCCACGGTGCCCAGCTTCACTATGCCATTTCATGCAAGGGGCTTGAGCATCTGCAGATTTTGGTATCTGAATGGGGATCCTGGAACCAATCACCCAGGTATAGTGAAGGACCATGGTATATAATTTTTATTTGTCAATCTTAAAAATAAAGCATAAAAAATTTACAACAACAAGATAAAAAATAAGAAGTGTTTTTATAGTGTGAGGATAAGTTTAGATTTATTTTTTCCTACGTGTAACCCTATGGTCCTGTGTTATTTGTTGAGAAAATATTCTATTCCACCTTAAACTACATGGCAGCCTTTGTCAACTATAAAGGGACTGTGTATCCACAGATGTATTTTAGACACAGTTTTCTGTCCAGTGGTTCTCTGTATCCCCTCTCATGAGGATGCTGCATTTTATATAAACTTATAGAACCCCTTAAAATTTGGTAACCTGAGTCCTCTGATTTGTTATTATAGGTTATTTAGTTTGCTTTTTTTTTTTCTTGAGACAGACTCTTCCTCTGTCACCCAAGCTGGAGTTCAGTGGCTTGAGCTCAGCTCACTGCAACCTCCGCCTCCCAGGTTCAAGCTATTCTGATGCCTCTGGTTTAGTACTAGAAACTCAAGCAGGAAAATTAGAATGGCTTCTTGTCACAATTACTCTGATAATGTTAATAATACCTGTTAGACATTTTGCACATTACATATGAAGAAGAGTTTGAATCTCAGATAAAAACAAAAATACATCAAAAATCTTTAATGTAAGCACAGAATTCAATCATCTCGTGTATGAGAGGTTGGATCTGAGACGTCTTTTGAGTCTGGTCGTAGTGAAGGACGCAAGGTGTCAATTCTAGTGAGAACAATTTCCAGGAAGCCATGTTCCGCTCTTGAGCGAGCACCCACTGGGCCTCATGCAAGGTAGAAAGAGCCTGCGTACGTCACCCTCCCATGATGTGGTCAACATGTAAACTGCATGGGCAGGGCGCCAAATAACATCCTGTGCGCTGCTGAGCTGAGCTGGGGCGCGGCCGCCTGTCTGCACAGACAGCACCATGTCGCTCATGGTCGTCAGCATGGCGTGTGTTGGTGAGTCCTGGAAGGGAATCGAGGGAGGGAGTGCGGGGATGGAGATCGGGGCCCAGAGTTGGAGATATAGGCCTGGAAGTGGAGTTATGGGCCTAGAGATGGAGTGATGGGCCTAGAAGTGGAGATCTGGGCCTGGAGTGGAGATATGGGCCTGGAGGTTGAGATATGGGCCTGCAGTAGAGATATGGGCTTGTAGTGGAGACATGGGCCTGGAGATGGAGATATGGGCCTGGAGATGGAGATATGGGCCTGCAGTAGAGATATGGGCCTGGAGTGGAGATATGGGCCTGGAGTGGAGATATGGATCTGGAGGTGGAGATACGGGCCTGCAGTAGAGATATGGGCCTGGAGTGGAGATATGGGCCAGGAGTGGAGTTATGGGCCTAGAGGTGGATATCTGGGCCTGGAGTGGAGATATGGGCCTAGGAAGGAGATATGGGCCTGGGTGTGGAGATATGGGACTGGAGAGGTGATATGGGCCTGGAGTGGAGATATGGGCTTAGGGTGGAGATCTGGGCCTGGGGCAGAGATATGGGACTGGATTGGAGATATGGGCCTAGGGTGGAAATATCAGCCTGGAGTGGAGATATGGGCTTGTGGTGGGGATCTGGGCCTGGAAACTGGGTCTCTGCACAGCCGACAGCCCTGTTCTTGGGTGCAGGTAGGCACTGAGGGTGAGTTTAACTTCAGCCCAGGAAGGGCCTGGCTGCCAAGACTCACAGCCCAGTGGGGGCAGCAAGGGAGTCCTGGTTTGCCTGCAGATGGATGGTCCATCATGATCTTTCTTTCCAGGGTTCTTCTTGCTGCAGGGGGCCTGGCCACATGAGGGTGAGTCCTTCTCCAAACCTTCGGTTGTCATCTCCCCACATAAGAGGATTTTCCTGAAACAGGAGGGAAGTCCTGTCAGGGAGTCTCTCATAAACTGGGAAGAGAGGACCCTGGGGTGCTCGGCCCACATTTCTGACCTTGCCTCCCTGGCCTCTCAACCCCTTGGCAGAGTCAAGTTCTGTGGGGACCAGGGTTAGACTGGGGTGCTCAAAGCTGGGGTGTGTGGTGGGGAAGTGGTAGGAACAGCAGATCCTCTGAGGACAAAGGTGTTACTCACACACTTCAGCGTTTCCATGATGGTAGGGGCTGCAGTGTGGCTGCTGTCATTCTACCAGAAGAGGTGGGAAACCACAGCCATGGCCCTGACATTCCAAATCCTCTGATGGGGGCTCAGTTGTTTATTTTCGTTCAGGCATCCGCTGATATCCACTCACAAAGGACATGCCCTCCACCTCATGTCTACCCTGTGTTGTTTTATGTGAGTAATCTTACAGTATTAAAATCTAGTAGGAGTCTCTTTACTCAGCACTTGCTCAAAGTTCTCAGCTGAGGCTTTTGTTGTAGGGAGACACCATGTCTTTGCGGGATGGGTCCTTCCTTCAGCCCTGGGCACCAAGGTGTGATAGTAGCCATAGAAACGTGGAAAGCGAGGAGAATCTTCTGAGCACAGGGAGGGAGGGGCAGTTCCACATCCTCCTCTCTAAGGCGGCGCCTCCTTCTCCCCAAGGTGGTCAGGACAAGCCCTTGCTGTCTGCCTGGCCCAGCCTTGTGGTGCCTCTAGGACATGTCATTCTTCGGTGTCACTCTTATCTTGGGTTTAACAACTTCAGTCTGTACAAGGAAGGTGGGGTGCCTGTCCCTGAGCTCTACAACAGAATATTCTGGAACAGCCTTTTCATGGGCCCTGTGACCCCCGCACAACAGGGACATACAGATGTCGGGGTTCACACACACACTCCCCCAGTGGGTGGTCAGCACCCAGCAACCCCCTGGTGATCGTGGTCATAGGTCAGAGGGCTCCTGTCTTGGATTCTCCTTGTCCCACCTCCTGAATCCCAGAGCTTCTGGTGGGCATGTCCTTGAGGGTCCCATCACGCAGGCCCTGACTGTATTTGTGGTAAAGGGGGATTGAATACAGGGAAATGGGTGCTGTGGTGGGAAGAATAATTGTCCCCAGTGATGACTACATTCTAATCCCTGGAGTCTGTGACTATGTATGTTATAGGGGAAGGGACTGAAGGGGAAGATGGAGCTCATGGGGAGACAGCCTGGACTGTCCCACTGGGCTCAGTGTAATCACAAGGGTGCACATGAAAGGAGGAGGAAGAGGGGAGTGGGGATTAGAGCAGTCCAGTGGAAGTCTTCACCAGCTTTGAAGGTGGAGGAAGGCCAAGAGCCATGAATGCAGGTGGCCTATAGAGGCTGGAAAAGTCAAGGAACTGATTCTCCAGAGTCTCCAGAGGAAACGAAGCCCTGCAGATGCCTTGATTTTAGCCCAGGAAAAATAGGGTCCAATTTCTGTCTCCAGTACTGGAAGGTGTCAGTGTGGTCTCTCCTGCTTCCATGCTTCTGATAATTTTGTACAGCAGCAACAGGAAACCAACACTGGAACCCAGGTCAAGGACAAGTTAAGAAACAACCCAAGGAAAGCCAGGCATGGTGGCAGGCGCATGTAATCCTAGCGACTCAGGAGGCTGAGGGCAGGAGAATCACTTGAACCCAGGAAACAGAGGTTGCAGTGAGCCTAGACCACACCACTTCACTCCAGCCTGGGTGAAGGAGTGAGACTCTGTCTCCAAAATTAATTAATTAATTAAAGAAACCAAACAAGGAGAAGGTTGGCTACCCTGAGATCAGCAAGGGTGGGATGATGATGCCACCACCAGGCTCCATCCACATAGGGAGGGGTTGATACTCCTCCAACCAGCACCAGGAGCCAGCCTATGGAAGCTGGCACCATGGAGAAGGCACAGGCATGGCAAGAGTGGCTCCCAGTCCCGACCAGGAACAGGGTGTGTGGACACTGGTGCCTGCCTTATTCATCAGTTCATACCTTCTGCCAAGGATTGCAATTCATCCAAAAGAGATTGAACAAGGCTGATAAGAGCCTGGATGTGCAGCCTATCCTGGTTCCTCTTTCACCCCCACATAAACAGCAGGAAAGACGTTAGTGTGAAATAGATACAACACCCCAAGAGATGAGGCTAAGCCCAGTGGGAAGGGAATCAGAGGCTACTAGAGACAGAGGGACAGAGAAGAGGGAGGGAGACAGATGGAAGGACCTGCACCAGGAGTTATGGGCACAGAAAAGAACATGAAGACACAGAGAGGAAGGAGAGAGACAGACACCAGCAAGGGGAAGCCTCACTCATTCTAGGTGCCATGGATGGGATGATAAAGAGAGACACCTTCTAAACTCACAACCTCTCTTCTTAGGAGTCCACAGAAAACCTTCCCTCCTGGCCCACCCAGGTCCCCTGGTGAAATCAGAAGAGACAGTCATCCTGCAATGTTGGTCAGATGTCAGGTTTGAGCACTTCCTTCTGCACAGAGAGGGGAAGTATAAGGACACTTTGCACCTCATTGGAGAGCACCATGATGGGGTCTCCAAGGCCAACTTCTCCATCGGTCCCATGATGCAAGACCTTGCAGGGACCTACAGATGCTACGGTTCTGTTACTCACTCCCCCTATCAGTTGTCAGCTCCCAGTGACCCTCTGGACATCGTCATCACAGGTGAGAGTGTCCGGACATTCTCATTGTCATTGGGCTGCAGAGTGAATGATCCACGACTTGGAACCCCCAGGTAGTTGTAAGGAAGATGAGCTTGGTATTCTTATGGAGAGAGACTGACTTGCTGAGGTTTGTACCAACAGAGACAGAGAAACAGGAGACACAAGTACAGACCAGGTGTCATAACGGAGGACAGACACAGGGGCCATACAGGGAGTTAGAAAAGACAGAAAGAGTTAAAGGAGACAGACAGACAGACATGTCCCAGAGAGAGGTGTCCCTCCATGCTGACTTTGCTCACAGACCTGGCACAGGATAGAAGTTTCATTTCTGTTTTACCTCCACAAAGTGTTCTCTACCAGGAGAACCCAAGGACACCCATATTTCTGACCTGAGTTGGGCCCTGTGGCCTCAGGCCTTGTGGCACCTACAGGCCATGTTTATTCTGACACCTCTGCCTTCCATGTAATGGAGAGTAACCGTCCCAGGATATCATGGCCCCAGAACACCAACCCCTGTATGCTGTGTGAACTTGTGGTCTCCAGACTGGATTCTGAGGCTCACATTCCAAATAACCCCACATATGAAAGGATCACTGAGAGGCACAGAGAGAAATCAGGAACACCAAAAAGCAAAGACATAAACACACAGAGAATGGGCCAGAGGAAGGAGATTGAGAGACTCACTGACACATAAAGAGAGAGAAAAGAGGGCAGAGGAGTGGTGAGAATGATGGAAGGGAGCAGAGAAAAGCACTAAAATTAGAGTCCTGAGGGAGAGGCACAAGGACATAGAAAGATGGAGATGTGGGGATGAACTGCAGAGATTCCAAAGAGAACTAGAGAGACCGAGAGGCAGAGCAAGACAGATGATAGATGGATAGATATAGATAGATGATAAATAGGTAGATGATAGATAATAGGTTAAAGATACATAGATGATGATTGATTGATTCATTAATAGATAATACATAGAGATGATGATGATGAAGACAGATAGATAATACGTACAGATAGAGAGGCAGACAGAAATCATAGAGAGAGAGATGATACATACATATAAATAACAGATGATTGATGGATAGATAGACAACTGATAGATACATAGATGATATATAGATATAGATGACAGGTAGAGAATTTGTAGATAGGCACCGAATAGATAAATAGATAGATCGACAGATAATAGATAGAAATATGCAGAAAGTTATGAACAGGACACAACGTGAGAAACTTAGAATTTAAAAAAGTAACATCAAGTCAACCAATCCAAGGAGAGTCAGAGAGAATAAAAGAATCCAAAAAGGGAAAACATATCTAGAGGTGGGGAAGCGAGGTCAGAGACCTAGAGAGACAGAGAAGGTGGAAGGAGGAAATAGACATGAAGAGAGATGGGGTGGAGGGTGAGAGAGAGAGAGAGAGAGCATTAGGTCATAGAGCAGGGGAGTGAGTTCTCAGCTCAGGTGAAGGGAGCTGTGACAAGGAAGATCCTCCCCGAGGAAAATGCCTCTTCTCCTTCCAGGTCTATATGAGAAACCTTCTCTCTCAGCCCAGCCGGGCCCCACGGTTTTGGCAGGAGAGAGCGTGACCTTGTCCTGCAGCTCCCGGAGCTCCTATGACATGTACCATCTATCCAGGGAGGGGGAGGCCCATGAACGTAGGTTCTCTGCAGGGCCCAAGGTCAACGGAACATTCCAGGCCGACTTTCCTCTGGGCCCTGCCACCCACGGAGGAACCTACAGATGCTTCGGCTCTTTCCGTGACTCTCCCTATGAGTGGTCAAACTCGAGTGACCCACTGCTTGTTTCTGTCACAGGTGAGGAAACCCCATATCTGTCTCATGTCCTATGATCCTAGAGCCTTAGCTGAGGAGCTTCCTGCTGATGATGGAGAGAAGCATGGACAGATGCAGAGAGAAGACGAAGCTTGGGTGTGAGGGAGGGATCAGGGCACAGGATGGCAGACAGGGCACCTCCAAACCCTCCTACACGGCCTGCATGAAGGCCCGCGGCCAGGGCTCCAGGCACACAGGCAGATGGAGAAAACGGTCAGGAGAGACCCAGAGGAGAGAGACTGGGCTCAGTTTGGGAAGATCAGAGGTTCCCTCAGCCCCTCAACATTATCCATTTCCCAGAAGCCCATCCTGGCCTCTCACCCACACAGGGATGTCATCACCAGCAACCCCTACACCCTTTACTTTTGTTTGAAGAAATATTTATTGAGGATAAATATACCTATATAGCTTACCACCTTTAACATTTTTTTTTTTTTTGAGGCAGAGTCTAGCTCTGTCCCCTATGCTGGAGTGCAGTGGCACAATCTCAGCTCACTGCAATTTCCGCCTCCTGGGTTCAAGCGATTCTCTTGCCTCAGCCACCTGAGTAGCTGGTGCTACAGGCGCGCACCACCACGCCAGGCTACTTTTTGTATTTTTAGTAGAGAGGTGGTTTCACCATGTTGGTCGAGCTGGTCTCCAACTCCTGACCACGTGATCCACCCGCATGTGCCTCCCAAAGTGCTGGGATTACAGGCATGAGCCACCACGCCCAGCCACATTTACCATTTTTAAGTGTAAAGTCTAGTGGTCATAAATACATTTATATATATATATATTTTTTTTTTTTTTTTTACCCTCCACCCTTTTCTTCCTGGCCTCTGGAAGCCATCATTCTACTCTCTACCTTCATGAGATCCACCTTTTAGCTCTGTATATGGGTGAGAAATGGGAATCTTTGTAATGACTTCCAGTTCCATCCATGTGGCTGCAAATATCAGGATGTTATTCTTTCTATGGATGAGTAGTCTCCACTGTGCGTATGTACTACATTCTCTCTATCCATTCATCCACTGATGGGCAGGTAGGTTGACTCCACATCTTGGCTACTGTGAACAGTGCTGCACCAATCATACGAGTGCAGATATCACTTCGATATATTGATTTACTTTCCTTTGGATATAAACCCAGTAGTGAAATTGCTGGATACTATGAAAGTTCTCTTTTTAGTTTTTCGTTTGTTGTTTTGTTTTTGTTTTTGAGACAGTTTCCCTCTGTGCCCAGGCTGGAGTACAAGTGATGTCATCTTGGCTCATTGCAACCTCTGCCTCCTGGGTTCAAATGATTTTCCTGCCTCAGCCTCCCTAGTAGCTGGGATTACAGGTGCACGCCACCATGCCTGGCTACTTTTTGTTTTTTTTAGTATAGATGGGGTTTCCCCATGTTGGCTGGGCTGCTCTCAAACTCATGACCTCAACTGAGATGCCCGCCTCAGTCTCCCAAAGTGCCGGGATTACAGGCCTGATCCACCACACCCAACCTCTTTTTAGTTCTTTAAAGGACTTCCATACTTTTCTCCGTAATCGCTGTACTAATTTACACTCCTCCCAACAGGGTACCAGGGTTCTCCTTTCTCTACCACCTTGCCAGCATTTCTTTTGCCTGTCTTGCAGCTAAAAGCCATTTTATTTTATTTCATTTTATTTTGAGATGGAGTTTTGCTCTTCTCACCCAGGCAGGAGTGCAGTGGCGCTATCTCGGCTCACCACAACCTCCACCTCCCAGGTTCAAGCGATTCTCCTGCCTCAGCCTCCCGAGTAGCTGGAATTACAGGCACACTCCACCACGCCCGACTAATTTTTGTATTTTTAGTAGAGACAGTGTTTCTCTATGTGGGTCAGACTGGTCTCAAACTCCTGACCTTATGAGATTCACCCACCTCAGGCTCTCAAAGTTCTAGGATGACAGACGTGAGCCACCACGCCCGGCCTAAAAGCCATTTTAATGGGGTGAGATGAAAACTCACTTTGATTTTAATTTGCGTTTCTCTGATGATGAGTGATACTGAGCACTTTTTAGTATGTGGGGAAATTTCATGTCTTCTGCTCCTTTTTCAATTAAATCATTTGTTTTATTGAGTTGTTTGAGCTTCTTATATTTCTAGTTATTAATCCCATCTCAGATGCATAGTTTGCACATATTTGCTCCCAATCTGTGGGTTGTCTCTTCACTTTGTTGGTTTATTTTTAGCAGTGCAGAAGTTGCTTAGTTTGAGGTAATCCCAATGGTCTATTTTTGCTTCGATTACTTGTGTTTTCAAGGTTTAAAACAAAATGTCTTTCTTCAGACAAATGTCCTGGAGCATTTCCCCAATATTTTGTTCTACGTGTTTCATAGGTTCAGGCCTTAGACTCACATCTTTAATCCATTTTCATTTGATTTTTGTGTATGGTGACAGGTAGAGGTGCAGTTTCATTCCTCTGCATGTCGATGTCCAGGTTTCCCTGCACTGTTTATTGAAAAGACTGTCCTTTCCTGATTGTGAGTTCTTGGCACCTTTGTCAAAGTCCATTGGATGGGCTGGGCTTGGTGGCTGACACCTGCAATTTCAGCACTTTGGGAGGCCGAGGCGGGTGGATTACCTGAGGCCAGGAGTTCAAGATCAGTCTGGACGACGTGATGAAACATCGTCTCCACTAAAAATATAAAAATTAGCTGAGCATGGTGGTCAGCACCTGTAATACCACTACTCAGGAGTTTGAGGCAAGAGAATGATTGAACCCAGGAGGCTGAGGTTGCAGTGAACTGAGATTGCACCTCTGCACTCCAGCCTGAGTGACAGAGCAAGACTCCATCTCAAAAGAAAAAATAAAAAACCATTGGATGTAAATGCATGGAATATATCTGTGTTATTCATTCTGCTCCGTTGTTCTATGTCCCTTTCTTTATGCCAATGTCATGCTGTTTTGCTTACTACAGCTCTGTAACATATTTTGAGATCAGGTAGTGTGATGCTCCTGTTTTCTCTTTATACCTTGAAGTCTCAAGACAGTGGGCGTCACATAAAAAAATTATGGAAAAAAGGATCCCAGGACTCCCAGGGCCCAATATTAGATAACAGAGTGTTGGCCATGAACCATCCTCAAAGATTTCCACTGAGTAGAGGACAGACACCCTCATTTCCTCACCTCTCTCCTGTCTCATGTTCTAGGAAACCCTTCAAATAGTTGGCCTTCACCCACTGAACCAAGCTCCAAAACCGGTGAGTACAGAACCCTCTTATATCCGCTTTTGGAAACCTGGGGAGGTGGAAACCTTGGATTCAGGCGTTGACTCAGCATCTCACAGCTCTGACATTGTACCCCTGTCTTCCACCATCTCCGAACTCCAGATACTCCTACAGCGAAAGGGATCTGGGTCCAACACAGGGCTCAGTGAAATCTCTTCATCTCTCATTTTATGGAGCTGAGACTTCCTACAAGCTAGAAGAATGATTGCCAATCTGACATCCTTCTCAGGAAAAATGCAATGTTTGTTCTGCCTGCATTCCTAACTGGAGGATAAATTCCTGGAGACTTGAGAGAGGGAAGGGAAGGGAACATCTGATGAGGGCGAGGTGTTTTAGAGAAGTTCCACTTGCCAAGGAATGAGCTCCTATAGGTCATGAAGCAACCCTGGCTGACTCAGCAGAGAAAGAGCCTTGCTGTAACAGAGAACAGAGCTCATGCACGCACACTTCGACTCACTGACTCATTCAGCCACGGCCCCATGCTCAGGCTGTGCACTGTGGAAGCTTTTCCTATTGTTGCCATAACAAATTTCCACAAGATTCGTGGGTGAAAACAAAACGGTTTTTTAATTATCTTACAGTGCTGTAGCTCAAAGTATGAAGTGCATCTCACTGGGCTAAAATCAAGGTGACAGCAAGGCTGCCTTCCCTCTGAGGATTCCAGGCAAGAATCTGCTTCTCACTTTTCTCAGCTTCTAGAGGCTCCCACATTCCTTCGCTCCTGGTCCCCTTCCTCCTTCCTCAAAGCCCACAAAGACTGGTCACATCTCACATGGCATCACTCAGACCCTTCTTCCTTACCACACCTCTTTCTCTGAATGCTGCTCTCCCTTCTTCCTCATCTTTTGAAAACTTGGGGATTCTATTGGGTTCACCAAGATGAAAATCCATCATAATCTCCCGGAAATCATTCAGGATACCCTTGTTTTAAGTTCAGCTGATTAGCAACCATAATTCCATCTGCAATCTTCATTCCTCCTTTCCATGTAAAATAAGATATTCACAAGCTATGGAGGCTAGGACAGGGACATTTTGGGGTGGGACAGCATTCTCCTGCCTTCCACAAACAGTGAACAAGATGCATTTGGCCTCTGCTCTTTGGACACTGATATTGCAGATGGTTAAATGGGAGGGCAGAAAATGAATGCACAAGTGGACCAATAAATGAATGATCCATTGGGAAGCATCTGTGTATGAAATCTATTTGTTTGTTTCTTCATTTGTTTATTGAGACAGAGTCTCCCTCTGTCTTCCAGGCTACAGTGCAGTGTCACCATCTTGGCTCACTGCAACCTGCACCTTCTGGATCCAAGTGATTCTCCTGCGTCAGCCTCTCAAGTAGCTGGGATTACAGGCAACTGCCACCATGCCCGGCTAATTCTTTTTGTATATTTTTTGTAGAGGATGTTTCACCATCTTCGCCAAGCTTCTCTGAAACTCCCAACCTCAAGTGATCCGACCGTCTCAGCATCCTAAAGTACTGGGATAACTGGCGTGAGCCACTGTGCCCAGCCAGAATTTAAAATAAATAATACATAATGCTGAGTGTATGATTTTGGGTGACAGAGAAGATCTCACTAATCAGATATTTGTGACATTAATGAAAAACACGGATTGAACCCCTGAAAGATTGGCGGAAGGATTTTCCACACACAGCTGTCAGCCGTGAAGGCAGAAAGCTGAAAACAATCTGATGTGGAAGGAAGAGGCTCTGCCTCAAATGCTGGGAATGAGGTGGGGAGAATGACAAGACGACTGTGGAGAGACGGAGAGCACACTGGGTACACAGGAAACTAAGGAGCAACAAGGAGTGTGTGTTTGACACTCACAGCCATTGGATTCACCTCGGGGTAGCCAGGAATCCCTACATGATTAATAGTGACTGACATGAAAATAAGGGAGGCCCAGGTGCGTAACTGGAATCTAGGAGACTGTGGAAAAGGCAATTCCCGCCCCACTGGTGAAATGTGGTGCTGATTTAGACCCTAACTGGGTGAAGCAGATGGATATAAGCTATGCTTGTGAGGTGGAATCATTGGCTGGAAAGGCTTGCTGGGTATGATTTTCCTAGTTGTCTAATCCTCGCTTAATTTCTTTCTGAGCTTTATTCCTACTACACATAAATCAATACCTGGCAAAGGAGTGACAGATATATGAGGGGTGGTGGAAATGAAGGGACCTATTATAGCATAATATACAAGTCTGTGAACGGTGGCTCACGCCTGTAACCCAGCACTGCAGGAGGCCAAGGCGGGTGGATCACATGAAGTCAGCAGTTCGAGACCAGCCTGGCCAACATGGTGAAACCCTGTCTCTAGGAAAAACACAAAAATTAGCCGAGCATGGTGGTGCATCCCTGTAATCCCAGCTCCTACTCTGGAGGATGAAGCAGGAGAATGACTTCAACCCAGGAGGTGGAGGTTGCAGTGAGTGGAGATTGCATCACTGCACTCCAGCCTGGGTGACACAAGGAGACTCCGTCTCAAAAAATAAAAATAAGAAATGCATAAATATAAATATAATATAACACATGCAAATGAGAAAGGGACCTGAATTCCAATCATGATTTTTCTATTTCTCTATAATTACTTCTTTGATCCTTTATCTTATCCATTAGGCAATGAGCCTAAAACCTCTTCCCTATTTGGCTTTCTGTGAGCATGAGATCATATAGAAAATGTGAAAGCCCGCTGAATCCTCCAGCACAGATCCTGGAATACACAAAGTGCTCTGTTCATCACAAGAAAACATGCCCTCTCACCCAAATCCCCCACCTCACCCCTACTTCCAATCATCTGTGGAGATTCAGATAGGCCATGGGGAGGTAAATTCTAATACTCCTTGGAGTGAGTCCAGATCTTGGAATCAGAGATTAGCGTCAGCAGTAGCTCCTGCTCCCCTTTCCTACTAATTCACAGGAGGACAGGTGGTATTGAAGCAATAGATGGCCGAGGGGGTGGTCCTTCCCCCAGCCTCTCGGGTAGAACAGCAACCTAACATGTGTCTCCTGAGATCACAAAGAGTAGCACGTTTCACATGGGCTTCAACACTGTTTCCTGGCCATTTGACATAAGAGAATTCTACTTCGCTTTTTTTATCTTGATTTCACTTTTGTTTCCTTTTCTTGGAGAATGCAAGTTGTTTGACTCAAGAATGCCGTGGATGTAGAAATCCTAAAGCACAGTCGCTGTGTATCAATCCCAGTGCAGTCTTCCCAGAGAAGACTCTAAACACCTCCTGGACTGCACCTGGGCCTATGCCAATTCCTATCACTCACCGTCACTCCAGGGAGACAGAACACACAGAGAATACATTACACAGGCAGGTTCATTACTAACAGATAAGCAGCGAGTGACAACAGAAGCCTACATTTCAATGTGAGCCAGTCCCTCAAGGCTCAGAAAAGCTGCTCGGGACATATGGAGTCACCCCATTTGCAGTGTAGCTGGGGGAAGCCAGAAAGCAGCCCAGCCTGGGTTTTGTACCCTGGAGCCACAGGAAGCACTCAGCTAAAGCACTGCATGACGCCTTCCTCCAGGAAGAACAGGAAGACAGCCCAGGCTGTTCTGAGACATTCCTCCTGATCTCAGGTCGTTGCTGTCTTAGTTTTTTTTTTTGTTGCTCTGAAGGAACACTTGAGCCTCGGTAACTTCTAAAGAAAAGAGATCGGTTTGCCTCACAGTTCTGCAGGCTGTACTGGAAGCATGGCACCAGAATCTATTTCTCGTGATGGCCTCAGGCTGCTCCCACTCTGGCAGAAGGGAAGGAGGGTCTGTCTGTGCAGAGACCACAGAGATCACACGGCAAGAGAGAGAGTAAGGGGGAGAGGGAGCAATGGAGCTTCCAAGCTCTTTTTAACAACCAGCTGTCCAGGAACTAACAGAGGGGGAACTTGCTAACCCCGTCTCCTTGGGACAGCATTGATCTGTTCATGATGGATCCACCTCCATGACCCAAACACCTCTGAAGAGGCCCAACCTCCCACAATGGGGGTGAAATTTCAATGTGAGGTTTGAAGGGGTCAAACATCTCAACTAAAGTAGTTGTATCCTCAGCACGTTCTATGGTTACTATGAGAGCTATAATTGAGAAAGCAGGGGAAAGCTAGGTCTCCCGCCATTTGGGTGCTTGTCCTAAAGAGACGTTGTATGTGGTTACCTGCCAATCAAGAAATGCGAGACAATTCATAAAGAGGAACTGCTATGATTAGCTTCTTATTGGTGTCTCCTCTTCTTCCAGGTAACCCCAGACACCTGCATGTTCTGATTGGGACCTCAGTGGTCAAAATCCCTTTCACCATCCTCCTCTTCTTTCTCCTTCATCGCTGGTGCTCCAACAAAAAAAGTAAGTCTCACGAAGCAGAGGCCAGAGAGCTCAGGGCCATGTGGGGAAGCAGGATGGGAGCACTCAGGTGTGTGTTCCTCACCAGCAGGATGGTCCCTGGCCCAAGACAGG
Source organism: Homo sapiens (assembly GCF_000001405.40). Lineage (NCBI taxonomy): Eukaryota > Metazoa > Chordata > Mammalia > Primates > Hominidae > Homo > Homo sapiens. The sequence goes on from NT_187677.1 coordinate 42,639, forward strand.
AGCCACAGAGGCAGGACTTTCTAGAGAGAGCACCAGATTCCCTTCCCCTGCCTTCAGCTCACAGACCGTTGCCTGATTCTGAACTGTACCCTCACGTCCCCTGCAGCCACTCACATCCAGGAGAAGGTTCCATGACAGGCAGAAAGTGGGAGATAGAATCAATGGGATGGGAACTCAGAGCTATTCATGGGATGGGTCCTTGAACTCAGAGAGATAGAATGTCTGAGTCTGCTGTTGGCAACTGAGGGACCTCAGGCACCTATGGCCTCCCCCTGTTTGTTGGTATCTGCTTATGAAATGAGGACCCAGAAGTGCCCTCCGAGCTCTTTTGTTGACTTCCGTCTTCTACAGATGCTGCTGTAATGGACCAAGAGCCTGCAGGGAACAGAACAGTGAACAGCGAGGTAGGTGCTCCTCGGCCCAGCCTCGTGGCTAGTCTTATTCCCAAAGAGTCCTGAAAAATGTGAGCACCCTCCCTCACTCAGCATTTCCCTCTCTCCAGGATTCTGATGAACAAGACCATCAGGAGGTGTCATACGCATAATTGGATCACTGTGTTTTCACACAGAGAGAAATCACTCGCCCTTCTGAGAGGCCCAAGACACCCCCAACAGATACCAGCATGTACATAGAACTTCCAAATGCTGAGCCCAGATCCAAAGTTGTCTTCTGTCCACGAGCACCACAGTCAGGCCTTGAGGGGATCTTCTAGGGAGACAACAGCCCTGTCTCAAAACCGGGTTGCCAGCTCCCATGTACCAGCAGCTGGAATCTGAAGGCATCAGTCTTCATCTTAGGGCATCGCTCTTCCTCACACCACGAATCTGAACATGCCTCTCTCTTGCTTACAAATGTCTAAGGTCCCCACTGCCTGCTGGAGAGAAAACACACTCCTTTGCTTAGCCCACAATTCTCCATTTCACTTGACCCCTGCCCACCTCTCCAACCTAACTAGCTTACTTCCTAGTCTACCTGAGGCTGCAATCACACTGAGGAACTCACAATTCCAAACATACAAGAGGCTCCCTCTTAACACAGCACTTAGACACGTGCTGTTCCACCTCCCTTCAGACTATCTTTCAGCCTTCTGCCAGCAGTAAAACTTATAAATTTTTTAAATAATTTCAATGTAGTTTTCCCGCCTTCAAATAAACATGTCTGCCCTCATGGTTTCGGTAACGAGACTCTTCTCTTGCCTAAGGCTTCCGGTGTTATCATTACCATGTCCACATAACCCCATCTGTTCTCCATTGGGTTCTCAGCCCTGGACTCTGAGCTTCTGGAAGCAGAATGGAGCCTGAATTGTCTCTGAGACTCCAATTTCCATCCAAAGATACAGCACATAGGAGGCTCCAAGGATCGTGAATCACATGAACAAGTGATATTCTTACTCTCTGCAGACCTGGAAAGCTGGCAGAGTCATTCCACGATGAAACATTTGTAGAGTCATAGGCCTTGTTAGTCTCATCTCCACGGGGACACATATCAACATATCATCTTTCATAATATAAATATACAGTCGGTCCTCCATATCTGTGGGGTTTACAGGTGTTTATTGAACCAACAATAAATCAAAAATATTTTGAGAAAAAAATCCCCGAAGTTTCAAGAAGCAAAAAACTATGTTGAATCGACACAAATTGAGTGGCGTGTAGGCTGTGTCAGGAATTATAAGTAATCAAGAGATGATTTCATGTATACAGGAGGATGTGCATGGGTTCTATGCAATTGCTATGCTATTTTTTTTTTTTGAGACAGTCTCACTCTCTCACCCAGGCTGGAGTGCAGTGGCGTGATCTCAACTCACTGCAACCTCCGCCTCCCAGGTTCAAGCGATTGTCTTCCCTCAGCCTCCCCAGTAGCCTCCCCTAGGATTACAGGCACGTGCCACCATGCACAGATAAATTTTTTTGTGTGTGTATTTTTAGTAGAGACGGGGTTTCAGAATGTTGGACCAGCTGGTCTTGAACTCCTGACCTTGTGATCTACCCAGCTCAGCCTCCCAAAGTGCTGGGATTACGGGCGTGAGCCACGGTGCCCAGCTTCACTATGCCATTTCATGCAAGGGGCTTGAGCATCTGCAGATTTTGGTATCTGAATGGGGATCCTGGAACCAATCACCCAGGTATAGTGAAGGACCATGGTATATAATTTTTATTTGTCAATCTTAAAAATAAAGCATAAAAAATTTACAACAACAAGATAAAAAATAAGAAGTGTTTTTATAGTGTGAGGATAAGTTTAGATTTATTTTTTCCTACGTGTAACCCTATGGTCCTGTGTTATTTGTTGAGAAAATATTCTATTCCACCTTAAACTACATGGCAGCCTTTGTCAACTATAAAGGGACTGTGTATCCACAGATGTATTTTAGACACAGTTTTCTGTCCAGTGGTTCTCTGTATCCCCTCTCATGAGGATGCTGCATTTTATATAAACTTATAGAACCCCTTAAAATTTGGTAACCTGAGTCCTCTGATTTGTTATTATAGGTTATTTAGTTTGCTTTTTTTTTTTTCTTGAGACAGACTCTTCCTCTGTCACCCAAGCTGGAGTTCAGTGGCTTGAGCTCAGCTCACTGCAACCTCCGCCTCCCAGGTTCAAGCTATTCTGATGCCTCTGGTTTAGTACTAGAAACTCAAGCAGGAAAATTAGAATGGCTTCTTGTCACAATTACTCTGATAATGTTAATAATACCTGTTAGACATTTTGCACATTACATATGAAGAAGAGTTTGAATCTCAGATAAAAACAAAAATACATCAAAAATCTTTAATGTAAGCACAGAATTCAATCATCTCGTGTATGAGAGGTTGGATCTGAGACGTCTTTTGAGTCTGGTCGTAGTGAAGGACGCAAGGTGTCAATTCTAGTGAGAACAATTTCCAGGAAGCCATGTTCCGCTCTTGAGCGAGCACCCACTGGGCCTCATGCAAGGTAGAAAGAGCCTGCGTACGTCACCCTCCCATGATGTGGTCAACATGTAAACTGCATGGGCAGGGCGCCAAATAACATCCTGTGCGCTGCTGAGCTGAGCTGGGGCGCGGCCGCCTGTCTGCACAGACAGCACCATGTCGCTCATGGTCGTCAGCATGGCGTGTGTTGGTGAGTCCTGGAAGGGAATCGAGGGAGGGAGTGCGGGGATGGAGATCGGGGCCCAGAGTTGGAGATATAGGCCTGGAAGTGGAGTTATGGGCCTAGAGATGGAGTGATGGGCCTAGAAGTGGAGATCTGGGCCTGGAGTGGAGATATGGGCCTGGAGGTTGAGATATGGGCCTGCAGTAGAGATATGGGCTTGTAGTGGAGACATGGGCCTGGAGATGGAGATATGGGCCTGGAGATGGAGATATGGGCCTGCAGTAGAGATAGGGGCCTGGAGTGGAGATATGGGCCTGGAGTGGAGATATGGGCCTGAAGTGGAGATATGGGCCTGGAGGTGGAGATATGGGCCTGGAGGTGGAGATATGGGCCTGGAGTGGAGATATGGGTCTGGAGGTGGAGATACGGGCCTGCAGTAGAGATATGGGCCTGGAGTGGAGATATGGGCCAGGAGTGGAGTTATGGGCCTAGAGGTGGATATCTGGGCCTGGAGTGGAGATATGGGCCTAGGAAGGAGATATGGGCCTGGGTGTGGAGATATGGGACTGGAGAGGTGATATGGGCCTGGAGTGGAGATATGGGCTTAGGGTGGAGTTCTGGGCCTGGGGCGGAGATATGGGACTGGATTGGAGATAGGGGCCTAGGGTGGAGATCTGAGCCTGGATTGGCGATATGGGCCTAGGGTGGAAATATCAGCCTGGAGTGGAGATATGGGCTTGGGGTGGGGATATGGGCCTGGAAACTGGGTCTCTGCACAGCCGACAGCCCTGTTCTTGGGTGCAGGTAGGCACTGAGGGTGAGTTTAACTTCAGCCCAGGAAGGGCCTGGCTGCCAAGACTCACAGCCCAGTGGGGGCAGCAAGGGAGGGCTGGTTCGCCTGCAGATGGATCGTCCATCATGATCTTTCTTTCCAGGGTTCTTCTTGCTGCAGGGGGCCTGGCCACATGAGGGTGAGTCCTTCTCCAAACCTTCGGGTGTCATCTCCCCACATAAGAGGATTTTCCTGAAACAGGAGGGAAGTCCTGTCGGGGAGTCTCTCATAAACTAGGAAGAGAGGACCCTGGGGTGCTCAGCCCACATTTCTGACCTCGCCTCCCTGGCCTCTCAACCCCTTGGCAGAGTCAAGTTCTGTGGGGACCAGGGTTAGACTGGGGTGCTCAAAGCTGGGGTGTGTGGTTGGGAAGTGGTAGGAACAGCAGATCCTCTGAGGACAAAGGTGTTACTCACACACTTCAGCGTTTCCATGATGGTAGGGGCTGCAGTGTGGCTGCTGTCATTCTACCAGAAGAGGTGGGAAACCACAGCCATGGCCCTGACATTCCAAATCCTCTGATGGGGGCTCAGTTGTTTATTTTCGTTCAGGCATCCGCTGATATCCATTCACAAAGGACATGCCCTCCACCTCATGTCTACCCTGTGTTGTTTTATGTGAGTAATCTTACAGTATCAAAATCTAGTAGGAGTCTCTTTACTCAGCACTTGCTCAAAGTTCTCAGCTGAGGCTTTTGTTGTAGGGAGACACCATGTCTTTGCGGGATGGGTCCTTCCTTCAGCCCTGGGCACCAAGGTGTGATAGTAGCCATAGAAACGTGGAAAGCGAGGAGAATCTTCTGAGCACAGGGAGGGAGGGGCAGTTCCACATCCTCCTCTCTAAGGCGGCGCCTCCTTCTCCCCAAGGTGGTCAGGACAAGCCCTTGCTGTCTGCCTGGCCCAGCCTTGTGGTGCCTCTAGGACATGTCATTCTTCGGTGTCACTCTTATCTTGGGTTTAACAACTTCAGTCTGTACAAGGAAGGTGGGGTGCCTGTCCCTGAGCTCTACAACAGAATATTCTGGAACAGCCTTTTCATGGGCCCTGTGACCCCCGCACAACAGGGACATACAGATGTCGGGGTTCACACACACACTCCCCCAGTGGGTGGTCAGCACCCAGCAACCCCCTGGTGATCGTGGTCATAGGTCAGAGGGCTCCTGTCTTGGATTCTCCTTGTCCCACCTCCTGAATCCCAGAGCTTCTGGTGGGCATGTCCTTGAGGGTCCCATCACGCAGGCCCTGACTGTATTTGTGGTAAAGGGGGATTGAATACAGGGAAATGGGTGCTGTGGTGGGAAGAATAATTGTCCCCAGTGATGACTACATTCTAATCCCTGGAGTCTGTGACTATGTATGTTATAGGGGAAGGGACTGAAGGGGAAGATGGAGCTCATGGGGAGACAGCCTGGACTGTCCCACTGGGCTCAGTGTAATCACAAGGGTGCACATGAAAGGAGGAGGAAGAGGGGAGTGGGGATTAGAGCAGTCCAGTGGAAGTCTTCACCAGCTTTGAAGGTGGAGGAAGGCCAAGAGCCATGAATGCAGGTGGCCTATAGAGGCTGGAAAAGTCAAGGAACTGATTCTCCAGAGTCTCCAGAGGGAACAAAGCCCTGCAGATGCCTTGATTTTAGCCCAGGAAAAATAGGGTCCAATTTCTGTCTCCAGTACTGGAAGGTGTCAGTGTGGTCTCTCCTGCTTCCATGCTTCTGATAATTTTGTACAGCAGCAACAGGAAACCAACACTGGAACCCAGGTCAAGGACAAGTTAAGAAACAACCCAAGGAAAGCCAGGCATGGTGGCAGGTGCATGTAATCCTAGCGACTCAGGAGGCTGAGGGCAGGAGAATCACTTGAACCCAGGAAACAGAGGTTGCAGTGAGCCTAGACCACACCACTTCACTCCAGCCTGGGTGAAGGAGTGAGACTCTGTCTCCAAAATTAATTAATTAATTAAAGAAACCAAAGAAGGAGAAGGTTGGCTACCCTGAGATCAGCAAGGGTGGGATGATGATGCCACCACCAGGCTCCATCCACATAGGGAGGGGTTGATACTCCTCCAACCAGCACCAGGAGCCAGCCTATGGAAGCTGGCACCATGGAGAAGGCACAGGCATGGCAAGAGTGGCTCCCAGTCCCCACCAGGAACAGGGTGTGTGGACACTGGTGCCTGCCTTATTCATCAGTTCATATCTTCTGCCAAGGATTGCAATTCATCCAAAAGAGATTGAACCAGGCTGATAAGAGCCTGGATGTGCAGCCTATCCTGGTTCCTCTTTCACCCCCACATAAACAGCAGGAAAGACATTAGTGTGAAATAGATACAACACCCCAAGAGATGAGGCTAAGCCCAGTGGGAAGGGAATCAGAGGCTACTAGAGACAGAGGGACAGAGAAGAGGGAGGGAGACAGATGGAAGGACCTGCACCAGGAGTTAAGGGCACAGAAAAGAACATGAAGACACAGAGAGGAAGGAGAGAGACAGACACCAGCAAGGGGAAGCCTCACTCATTCTAGGTGCCATGGATGGGATGATAAAGAGAGACACCTTCTAAACTCACAACCTCTCTTCCTAGGAGTCCACAGAAAACCTTCCCTCCTGGCCCACCCAGGTCGCCTGGTGAAATCAGAAGAGACAGTCATCCTGCAATGTTGGTCAGATGTCAGGTTTGAGCACTTCCTTCTGCACAGAGAAGGGAAGTTTAAGGACACTTTGCACCTCATTGGAGAGCACCATGATGGGGTCTCCAAAGCCAACTTCTCCATCGGTCCCATGATGCAAGACCTTGCAGGGACCTACAGATGCTACGGTTCTGTTACTCACTCCCCCTATCAGTTGTCAGCTCCCAGTGACCCTCTGGACATCGTCATCACAGGTGAGAGTGTCCGGACATTCTCATTGTCATTGGGCTGCAGAGTGAATGATCCACGACTTGGAACCCCCAGGTAGTTGTAAGGAAGATGAGCTTGGTATTCTTATGGAGAGAGACTGACTTGCTGAGGTTTGTACCAACAGAGACAGAGAAACAGGAGACACAAGTACAGACCAGGTGTCATAACGGAGGACAGACACAGGGGCCATACAGGGAGTTAGAAAAGACAGAAAGAGTTAAAAGAGACAGACAGACAGACATGTCCCAGAGAGAGGTGTCCCTCCATGCTGACTTTGCTCACAGACCTGGCACAGGTTAGAAGTTTCATTTCTGTTTTACCTCCACAAAGTGTTCTCTACCAGGAGAACCCAAGGACACCCATATTTCTGACCTGAGTTGGGCCCTGTGGCCTCAGGCCTTGTGGCACCTACAGGCCATGTTTATTCTGACACCTCTGCCTTCCATGTAATGGAGAGTAACCGTCCCAGGATATCATGGCCCCAGAACACCAACCCCTGTATGCTGTGTGAACTTGTGGTCTCCAGACTGGATTCTGAGGCTCACATTCCAAATAACCCCACATATGAAAGGATCACTGAGAGGCACAGAGAAAAATCAGGAACACCAAAAAGCAAAGACATAAACACACGGAGAATGAGCCAGAGGAAGGAGATTGAGAGACTCACAGACACATAAAGAGAGAGAAAAGAGGGCAGAGGAGTGGTGAGAATGATGGCAGGGAGCAGAGAAAAGCACTAAAATTAGAGTCCTGAGAGAGAGGCACAAGGACATAGAAACATGGAGATGTGGGGATGAATTGCAGAGATTCCAAAGAGAGCTAGAGAGACCGAGAGGCAGAGCAATACAGATGATAGATGGATAGATATAGATAGATGATAAATAGGTAGATGATAGATAATAGGTTAAAGATACATAGATGATGATTGATTGATTCATTAATAGATAATACATAGAGATGATGATGATGAAGACAGATAATACGTACAGATAGAGAGGCAGACAGAAATCATAGAGAGAGAGATGATACATACATATAAATAACAGATGATTGATGGATAGATAGACAACTGATAGATACATAGATGATATATAGATATAGATGACAGGTAGAGAATTTGTAGATAGGCACCGAATAGATAAATAGATAGATCGACAGATAATAGATAGAAATATGCAGAAAGTTATGAACAGGACACAACGTGAGAAACTTAGAATTTAAAAAAGTAACATCAAGTCAACCAATCCAAGGAGAGTCAGAGAGAATAAAACAATCCAAAAACGGAAAACATATCTAGAGGTGGGGAAGCGAGGTCAGAGACCTAGAGAGACAGAGAAGGTGGAAGAAGGAAATAGACATGAAGAGAGATGGGGTGGAGGGTGAGAGAGAGAGAGAGAGAGCATTAGGTCATAGAGCAGGGGAGTGAGTTCTCAGCTCAGGTGAAGGGAGCTGTGACAAGGAAGATCCTCCCTGAGGAAAATGCCTCTTCTCCTTCCAGGTCTATATGAGAAACCTTCTCTCTCAGCCCAGCCGGGCCCCACGGTTCTGGCAGGAGAGAGCGTGACCTTGTCCTGCAGCTCCCGGAGCTCCTATGACATGTACCATCTATCCAGGGAGGGGGAGGCCCATGAATGTAGGTTCTCTGCAGGGCCCAAGGTCAACGGAACATTCCAGGCCGACTTTCCTCTGGGCCCTGCCACCCACGGAGGAACCTACAGATGCTTCGGCTCTTTCCGTGACTCTCCATACGAGTGGTCAAACTCGAGTGACCCACTGCTTGTTTCTGTCACAGGTGAGGAAACCCCATATCTGTCTCATGTCCTATGATCCTAGAGCCTTAGCTGAGGAGCTTCCTGCTGATGATGGAGATAAGCATGGACAGATGCAGAGAGAAGACGAAGCTTGGGTGTGAGGGAGGGATCAGGGCACAGGATGGCAGACAGGGCACCTCCAAACCCTCCTACACGGCCTGCATGAAGGCCCGCGGCCAGGGCTCCAGGCACACAGGCAGATGGAGAAAGCGGTCAGGAGAGACCCAGAGGAGGGAGACTGGGCTCAGTTTGGGAAGATCAGAGGTTCCCTCAGCCCCTCAACATTACCCATTTCCCAGAAGCCCATCCTGGCCTCTCACCCACACAGGGATGTCATCACCAGCAACCCCTACACCCTTTACTTTTGTTTGAAGAAATATTTATTGAGGATAAATATACCTATATAGCTTACCACCTTTAACATTTTTTTTTTTTTTGAGGCAGAGTCTAGCTCTGTCCCCTATGCTGCAGTGCAGTGGCACAATCTCAGCTCACTGCAACTTCCGCCTCCTGGGTTCAAGTGATTCTCCTGCCTCAGCCACCTGAGTAGCTGGTGCTACAGGCGCGCACCACCACGCCAGGCTACTTTTTGTATTTTTAGTAGAGAGGTGGTTTCACCATGTTGGTCGAGCTGGTCTCCAACTCCTGACCACGTGATCCACCCGCATCTGCCTCCCAAAGTGCTGGGATTACAGGCATGAGCCACCACTCCCAGCCACATTTACCATTTTTAAGTGTAAAGTCTAGTGGTCATAAATACATTTATAAATATATATATATATATATATATATATATATATATATACACACACATATATATACATATATATATGTGTATATATATATATATATATATATATATATATATATATATATATATTTTTTTTTTTTACCCTCCACCCTTTTCTTCCTGGCCTCTGGAAGCCACCATTCTACTCTCTACCTTCATGAGATCCACCTTTTAGCTCTGTATATGGGTGAGAAATGGGAATCTTTGTAATGACTTCCAGTTCCATCCATGTGGCTGCAAATATCAGGATGTTATTCTTTCTATGGATGAGTAGTCTCCACTGTGCGTATGTACTACATTCTCTCTATCCATTCATCCACTGATGGGCAGGTAGGTTGACTCCACATCTTGGCTACTGTGAACAGTGCTGCACCAATCATACGAGTGCAGATATCACTTCGATATATTGATTTACTTTCCTTTGGATATAAACCCAGTAGTGAAATTGCTGGATACTATGAAAGTTCTCTTTTTAGTTATTCGTTTGTTGTTTTGTTTTTGTTTTTGAGACAGTTTCCCTCTGTGCCCAGGCTGGAGTACAAGTGATGTCATCTTGGCTCATTGCAACCTCTGCCTCCTGGGTTCAAATGATTTTCCTACCTCAGCCTCCCTAGTAGCTGGGATTACAGGTGCACGCCACCATGCCTGGCTACTTTTTGGTTTTTTTAGTATAGATGGGGTTTCCCCATGTTGGCTGGGCTGCTCTCAAACTCATGACCTCAACTGAGGTGTCCGCCTCGGTCTCCCAAAGTGCCGGGATTACAGGCATGATCCACCTCACCCAACCTCTTTTTAGTTCTTTAAAGGACTTCCACACTTTTCTCCGTAAAGGCTGTACTAATTTACACTCCTACCAACAGGGTATTAGGGTTCTCCTTTCTCTACCACTTTGGCAGGATTTCCTTTGCCTGTCTTGCAGCTAAAAGCCATTTTACTTTATTTCATTTTATTTTGAGATGGAGTTTCGCTCTTGTCACCCAGGCTGGAGTGCAGTGGTGCGATCTCGGCTCACCACAACCTCCACCTCCCAGGTTCAAGCGATTCTCCTGCCTCAGCCTCCCGAGTAGCTGGAATTACAGGCACACGCCACCACGCCCGACTAATTTTTGTATTTTTAGTAGAGACAGTGTTTCTCCATGTGGGTCAGACTGGTCTCAAACTCCCGACCTTATGAGATTCACCCACCTCAGGCTCTCAAAGATCTAGGATGACAGACGTGAGCCACCACGCCCGGCCTAAAAGCCATTTTAATGGGGTGAGATGAAAACTCACTTTGATTTTAATTTGCGTTTCTCTGATGATGAGTGATACTGAGCAGTTTTTCGTATGTGGGGAAATTTCATGTCTTTTGCTCCTGTTTCAATTAAATCATTTGTTTTATTGAGTTGTTTGAGCTTCTTATATTTCTAGTTATTAATCCCATCTCAGATGCATAGTTTGCACATATTTGCTCCCAATCTGTGGGTTGTCTCTTCACTTTGTTGGTTTATTTTTAGCGGTGCAGAAGTTGCTTAGCTTGAGGTAATCCCAATGGTCTATTTTTGCTTCGATTACTTGTGTTTTGAAGGTTTAAAACAAAATGTCTTCCTTCAGACAAATGTCCTGGAGCATTTCCCCAATATTTTCTTCTACGTGTTTCATAGGTTCAGGCCTTAGACTCACATCTTTAATCCATTTTCATTTGATTTTTGTGTATGGTGACAGGTAGAGGTGCAGTTTCATTCCTCTGCATGTAGATGTCCAGGTTTCCCTGCACTGTTTATTGAAAAGACTGTCCTTTCCTGATTGTGAGTTCTTGGCACCTTTGTCAAAGTCCATTGGATGGGCTGGGCATGGTGACTGACACCTGCAATTTCAGCACTTTGGGAGCCCAAGGCGGGTGGATCACCTGAGGCCAGGAGTTCAAGATTAGTCTGGCCGACGTGATGAAACATTGTCTCCACTAAAAATATATAAATTAGCTGAGCATGGTGGTCAGCACCTATAATACCACTACTCAGGAGTTTGAGGCCAGAGAATTGATTGAACCCAGGAGGCTGTGGTGGCAGTGAACCGAGATTGCACCTCTGCACTCCAGCCTGGGTGACAGAGCGAGACTCCATCTCAAAAGAAAAAAGAAAAAAACATTGGATGTAAATGCATGGATTATATTTGTGTTGTTCATTCTGCTCCATTGTTCTATGTGCCTTTCTTCATGCCAACATCATGCTGTCTTGCTTACTACAGCTCTGTAACATATTTTGAGATCAGGTAGTGTGATGCTCCTGTTTTCTCTTTATACCTTGAAGTCTCAAGACAATGGGCGTCACATACAAAAATTATGGAAAAAAGGATCCCAGGACTCCCAGGGCCCAATATTAGATAACAGAGTGTTGGCCATGAACCAACCTCAAAGATTTCCATTGAGTAGAGGACAGACACCCTCATTTCCTCACCTCTCTCCTGTCTCATGTTCTAGGAAACCCTTCAAATAGTTGGCCTTCACCCACTGAACCAAGCTCTAAAACCGGTGAGTACAGAACCCTCTTATATCCGCTTTTGGAAACCTGGGGAGGTAGAAACCTTCGATGCAGGCATTGACTCAGCATCTCGCAGCTCTGACATTGTACGCCTGTCTTCTACCATCTCCGAACTCCAGATACTCCAACAGCGAAAGGGATCTGGGCCCAACCTAGGGCTCAGTGAAATCTCTTAATCTCTCATTTTATGGAGCTGAGACCTCCTACAAGCTAGAAGAATGATTGCCAATCTGACATCCTTCTCAGGAAAAATGCAATGTTTGTTCTGCCTGCATTCCTAACTGGAGGATAAATTCCTGGGGGCTTGAGAGAGGGAAGGGAAGGGAACATCTGATGAGGGCGAGGTGTTTTAGAGAAGTTCCACTTGCCAAGGAATGAATTACTGTTGGTCATGAAGCAACCCTGGCTGACTCAGCAGAGCAACAGCCTTGCCGTAACAGAGAACGGAGCTCATGCACGCACACTTCGACTCACTGACTCATTCAGCCACGGCCCCATGCTCAGGCTGTGCAGTGCGGAACCTTTTCCTATTGTTGCCATAACAAATTTCCACAAGATTCGTGGGTGAAAACAAAACGGTTTTTTAATTATCTTACAGTGCTGTAGCTCAAAGTAGGAAGTGCATCTTACTGGGCTAAAATCAAGGTGACAGCAAGGCTGCCTTCCCTCTGAGGATTCCAGGCAAGAATCTGCTTCTCACTTGTCCCAGCTTCTAAAGGCTCCCAGTTCCTTGGCTCCTGGTCCCCTTCCTCCTTCCTCAAAACCCACAAAGACTGGTCACATCTCACATGGCATCACTCAGTGCCTTCTTCCTTACCACACCTCTTTCTCTGAATGCTGCTCTCCCTTCTTCCTTATCTTTTGAAAACTTGGGGATTCTATTGGGTTCACCAAGATGAAAATCCCTCATAATCTCCTGGAAATCATCCAGGATACCCTTGTTTTAAGTTCAGCTGATTAGCAACCGTAATTCCATCTACAATCTTCATTCCTCCTTTCCATGTAAAATAACATATTCACAAGGTATGGAGGCTAGGACAGGGACATTTTGGGGTGGGACAGCATTCTCCTGCCTTCCACAAACAGTGAACAAGATGCATTTGGCCTCTGCCCTTGGGACACTGATATTGCAGATGGTTAAATGGGAGGGCAGAAAATGAATGCACAAGTGGATCTATAAATGAATGATCCATTGGGAAGCATCTGTGCATGAAATCTATTTTTTGTTTGTTCTTTTGTTTATTGAGACAGAGTTGCCCTCTGTCTTCCAGGCTACAGTGCAGTGTCACGATCTTGGCTCACTGCAACCTGCTTCTCCTGGATTCAAGTGATTCTCCTGCCTCCGCCTCTCGAGTAGCTGGGATTACAGGCAACTGCCACCGTGCCCGGCTAATTCTTTTTGTATATTTTTTGTAGAGAGGATGTTTCACCACGTTGGCCAAGCTTGTCTGAAACTCCCAACCTCAAGTGATCCGACCGTCTCAGCATGCCAAAGTAATGGGACTACAGGCGTGAGCCACTGTGCCCAGCCAGAATTCAAAATCAATAATAGATAATGCTGAGTGTATGATTTCAGGTGACAAAGAAGGTCTCACTATTCAGATATTTGTGACATTAATGAAAAACACGGATTGAACCCCTGAAAGATTGGCGGAAGGATTTTGTACACACAGCTGTCAGCCGTGAAGGCACAAAGGTGAAAACAATCTGATGTGGAAGGAAGAGGCTCTTCCTCAAATGCTGGGAATGATGTGGGGAGAATGACAAGATGACTGTGGAGAGACGGAGAGCACACTGGGTACACAGGAAACTAAGGAGGAACAAGGAGTGTGTGTTTGACACTCACAGCCATTGGATTCACCTCGGGGTAGCCAGGAATCCCTACATGATTAATATGACTGACATGAAAATAAGGGAGGCTCAGTTGCATAACTGGAATCTAGGAGACCGTGGAAAAGGCAATTGCCGCCCCACTGGTGAAATGTGGTGCTGATTTAGACACTAAATGAATGAAGTAGATGGATATAAGATAGGTTTGTGAGGTAGAATCATTGACTGGAAAGGCTTGCTGGGTTTGATTTTCCTACTTGTTTAATCCTCGCTTAATTAATTTCTTTCTGAGATTTATTCATCCTACACATAAATCAATACCTGGCAAAGGAGTGACAGATATATGAGGGGTGGTGGAAATGAAGAGACCTATTATAGCATAATATACAAGTCTGTGAACGGTGGCTCACGCCTGTAACCCAGCACTGCAGGAGGCCAAGGCGGGTGGATCACATGAAGTCAGCAGTTCGAGACCAGCCTGGCCAACATGGTGAAACCCTGTCTCTAGGAAAAACACAAAAATTAGCCGAGCATGGTGGTGCATCCCTGTAATCCCAGCTCCTACTCTGGAGGATGAAGCAGGAGAATGACTTCAACCCAGGAGGTGGAGGTTGCAGTGAGTGGAGGTTGCATCACTGCACTCCAGCCTGGGTGGCACAAGGAGACTCCGTCTCAAAAAATAAAAATAAGAAATGCATAAATATAAATATAATATAACACACGCAAATGACAAAGGGACCTGAATTCCAATCATGATTTTTCTATTTCTCTATAATTACTTCTTTGATCCTTTATCTTATCCATTAGGCAATGAGCCTAAAACCTCTTCCCTATTTGGCTTTCTGTGAGCATGAGATCATATAGAAAATGTGAAAGTCCGCTGAATCCTCCAGCACAGATCCTGGAATAGAGAAAGTGCTCTGGTCATCACAAAAAAAACTTGCCCACTCACCCAAATCCCCCACCTCACCCCTACTTCCAATCACCTGTGGAGATTCAGGTAGACCATGGGGAGGTAAACATTAACACTCCTTGGAGTGAGTCCAGATCTTGGAATCAGAGATCAGCGACAGCACTAGCTCCTGCTCCCCTTTCCTACTAATTCACAGGAGGACAGGTGGTATTGAAGCAATAGATGGCCGAGGGGGTGGTCCTTCCCCCAGCCTCTCGGGTAGAACAGCAGCCTAATATGTGTCTCCCGAGATCACAAAGAGCAGCAGGTTTCACACGGGCTTCAACACTATTTCCTGGCCGTTTGACATAAGAGAATTCTATTTCGCTTTTTTTATCTTGATTTCACTTTTGTTTTCTTTCCTTGGAGAATGCAAGTTGTTTGATTCAAGAATGCTGTGGATGTAGAAACCCTAAAGCACATTCGCTGTGAATCAATCCCAGTCCAGTCTTCCCAGAGAAGACTCTAAACACCTCCTGGACTGCACCTGGGCCTATGCCAATTCCTATCACTCACCGTCACTCCAGGGAGACAGAACACACAGAGAATACGTTACATAGGCAGGTTCATTACTAACAGATAAGCAGCGAGTGACAACAGAAACCTATATTTCAATGTGAGCCAGTCCCTCAAGGCTCAGAAAAGCTCCTCGGGACATATGGAGTCACCCCATTTGCAGTGTAGCTGCGGGAAGCCAGAAAGCAGCCCAGCCTGGGTTTTGTACCCTGGAGCCACAGGAAGCACTCAGCTAAAGCACTGCATGACGTCCTCCAGGAAGAACAGGAAGACAGCCCAGGGTGTTCTGAGACGTTCCTCCTGATCTCAGGAAGTTGCTGTCTTAGGCCATTTTTGTTGCTCTAAAGGAACACTTGAGCCTCGGTAACTTCTAAAGAAAAGAGATTGGTTTGCCTCACCGTTCTGCAGGCTGTACTGGAAGCATGGCACCAGCATCTATTTCTCGTGACGGCCTCAGGCTGCTCCCACTCTGGCAGAAGGGAAGGAGGGTCTGTCTGTGCAGAGACCACAGAGATCACACGGCAAGAGAGGGAGCAAGGGGGAGGGGGAGTGATGGAGCTTCCAAGCTCTTTTTAACAACCAGCTCTCCGGGAACTAATAGAGGGGGAACTTGCTAACCCCGTCTCCTTGGGACAGCATTGATGTGTTCATGATGGATCCACCTCCATGACCCAAACACCTCTCAAGAGGCCCAACCTCCCACAGTGGGGGTGAAATTTCAATGTGAGGTTTGAAGGGGTCAAACATCTCAACTAAAGTAGTCGTATCCTCAGCACGTTCTATGGTTACTATGAGAGCTATAACTGAAAAAGCAGGAGAAAGCTGGGTCTCCTGCCATCTGGGTGCTTGTCCTAAAGAGATGTTTTATGTGGTTACCTGTCAATCAAGAAATGCGAGACAATTCATAAAGAGGAACTGCTAAGATTAGCTTCTTATTGGTGTCTCATCTTCTTCCAGGTAACCCCCGACACCTGCACATTCTGATTGGGACCTCAGTGGTCATCATCCTCTTCATCCTCCTCTTCTTTCTCCTTCATCGCTGGTGCTCCAACAAAAAAAGTAAGTCTCACGAAGCAGAGGCCAGAGAGCTCAGGGCCATGTGGGGAAGCAGGATGGGAGCACTCAGGTGTGTGTTCCTCACAAACAGGATGGTCCCTGGCCCAAGGCAGCAGCCACAGAGGCAGGACTTTCTAGAGAGGGCACCAGACTCCCTGCCCCTGCCTTCAACTCACAGACCGTTGCCTGATTCTGAACTGTATCCTCATGTCCCCTGCAGCCACTCACATCCAGGAGAAGGTTCCATGACAGGCAGAAAGTGGGAGACAGAATCAATGGGATGGGAACTCAGAGCTATTCATGGGATGGGTCCTTGAGCTCAGAGAGATAGAATGTCTGAGTCTGCTGTTGGCAACTGAGGGACCTCAGCCACCTATGGTCTCCCCCTGTATGTTGGTATCTGCTTATGAAATGAGGACCCAGAAGTGCCCTCCGAGCTGTTTTGTTGACTTCCGTCTCCTACAGATGCTGCGGTAATGGACCAAGAGTCTGCAGGGAACAGAACAGCGAATAGCGAGGTAGGTACTCCTCGGCCCGGGCTCGTGGCTACTGTTATTCCCAAAGAGTCCTGGAAAATGTGAGCACCCTCCCTCACTCAGCATTTCCCTCTCTCCAGGACTCTGATGAACAAGACCCTCAGGAGGTGACATACACACAGTTGAATCACTGCGTTTTCACACAGAGAAAAATCACTCGCCCTTCTCAGAGGCCCAAGACACCCCCAACAGATATCATCGTGTACACGGAACTTCCAAATGCTGAGTCCAGATCCAAAGTTGTCTCCTGCCCATGAGCACCACAGTCAGGCCTTGAGGGCGTCTTCTAGGGAGACAACAGCCCTGTCTCAAAACCGGGTTGCCAGCTCCCATGTACCAGCAGCTGGAATCTGAAGGCATGAGTCTGCATCTTAGGGCATCGCTCTTCCTCACACCACAAATCTGAATGTGCCTCTCACTTGCTTACAAATGTCTAAGGTCCCCACTGCCTGCTGGAGAAAAAACACACTCCTTTGCTTAGCCCACAGTTCTCCATTTCACTTGACCCCTGCCCACCTCTCCAACCTAACTGGCTTACTTCCTAGTCTACTTGAGGCTGCAATCACACTGAGGAACTCACAATTCCAAACATACAAGAGGCTCCCTCTTAACGCAGCACTTAGACACGTGTTGTTCCACCTTCCCTCATGCTGTTCCACCTCCCCTCAGACTAGCTTTCAGTCTTCTGTCAGCAGTAAAACTTATATATTTTTTAAAATAACTTCAATGTAGTTTTCCATCCTTCAAATAAACATGTCTGCCCCCATGGTTTCGGTAATGGGACTCTTTTCTTGCCTAAGGCTTCCGGTGTTATCAGTACCATGTCCATATAATCCCATCTGTTCCCCACTGAGTTCTCATCCCCGGACTCTGAGTTTCTGGAAGCAGGGTGGAGCCTCATTTGTCTCTGAGACTCCAATTTCCATCCAAAGATGTAGCACATAGGAGGTTCCAAGGATCACGAATCATATGAACAAGTGATACTCTTACTCTCTGCAGACCTGGAAAGCTGGCAGAGTCATTCCACAATGAAACATTTGTAGAATCATAGGCCTTGTTAGTCTCATCTCCATGGGGACACATATCAACACATCATCTTTCATAATATAAATATACGGTCACTCCTCCATATCTGCGGGGTTTACAGGTGTTTATTGAACCAAGTATAAATCAAAAATATTGAGAGAAAGTATCCACAGAGTTTCAAAAAGCATAACTATGTTGAATGGACACAAATGAAGCTGTGTGTAGGCTGTATCAGGAATTATAAGTAATCTAGAGATGATTTCATGTATACAGGAGGATGTGCATAGGTTATTTGCAAACTCTGTGCCATTTCATATAAGAGGCTTGAGCATCTACAGATTTTGGTATCTGAGTGGAGATCTCAAAACCAATCACCCACGAATAGTGAAGGATGACCGTATATGACTTTTATTTCTCAAATTTAAATATAAATCATAAAAAATGTACAACTAGATAAAAACTAAGAAGTGTTTTTATAGTGTGAGTTAGATTTATTTTTTCCTAGGTGTAACCAATTGGTTTAATATTATTTATTGAGAAGACATTCTATGCCACCTTAAACCACACGGCAGCCTTTGTCAACTCTAAAGGGACTGTGTGTACATGGATGTATTTTAGACACTGTTTCTGCTAAGGGGCTCTCTGTGTCCACACTCTTGATGATGCTGCACTTTATGTAGCCTTATAGAACCCTTTAAATTTAGTAGCCAGAGCCCTCTAATTTGTTATTATAGGCTGTTTGCTTTTTTTTTCTTGAGGCGGAGTCTTGCTCTGTCGCCCAGGCTGGACTGCAGTGACACAATCTCAGCTCACTGCAACCTCCGCCTCCCAGGTTCAAGCGATTCTCGTGCCTCAGCCTCTTGAGCAGCTGGCGTTACAGGTGCCTGCCACCAGGCACGGCTAATTTTTGGATTTTTAACAGAGACACGGTTTCACTATATTGGCCAAGCTGCTCTCAAACTCCTTATCTCAGTTGATCCGCCCACCTCGGCTTCCCAACGTGCTGGGGAAAACTTGATTTTCTATAGCATTATGTTACTGGATATTTCTGTAAAATTTAAAACGAGGGAGGGAGAGAGACAGACAGAGAGCAAACTCCAGAGTTGGGACTCTGGAATCTTGGGTCATGAGACAAATTTTAGATTAAACTACAAAACTCCAGAATTTACAGGTGTGGTTTTTGCTGATAAAGTACAATTCTAAGATTGTAAATAATTGCATAATCCTTCCCTGGGAATTTAAATCATTTTAGCTGGTTCTGCTGTAATACTAGAAATACAAGCATGAAAAATTCTAATGGTTTATTAGTCACAATGACTCCGAAAACATTAATAATACCTATTAGATACTTTGCATATTACACAGGAAGAAGAGTTTGAATCTCAGATAAAAACAAAAAAAATACATGAAAAGTCTTTCATGTTAGCACAGATTTTAGGCATCTCGTGTTCGGATAAAAATACATGAAAAGTCTTTCACGTTAGCACAGATTTTAGGCATCTTGTGTTCGGGAGGTTGGATCTGAGACGTGTTGTGAGTTGGTCATAGTGAAGGACGTGAGGTGCCAATTCTAGTGAGAACAATTTCCAGGAAGCCGTGTTCCGCTCTTGAGCAAGCATCCACTGGGCCTCATGCAAGGTAGAAAGAGCCTGCGTACGTCACCCTCCCATGATGTAGTCAACATGTAAGCTGCATGGGCAGGGCGCCAAATAACATCCTGTGCGCTGCTGAGCTGAGCTGGGGCGCGGCTGCCTGTCTGCACCGGCAGCACCATGTCGCTCATGGTCGTCAGCATGGCGTGTGTTGGTGAGTCCTGGAAAGGAATAGAGGGAGGGAGCGCGGGGATGGAGATCTGGGCCCAGAGGTGGAGATATAGGCCTGGAGGTGGAGTTATGGGCCTGGAGTGGAGATCTGGGCCTGGAGTGGATATATGGGCCTGGAGATGGAGTGATGGGCCTAGAAGTGGAGATCTGGGTCTGGAGTGGAGATATGGGCCTGGAGGTGGAGATATGGGCCTGGAGTGGAGATCTGGGCCTGGAGTGGAGATAGGAACCTGGAGGGGAGATATGAGCCTGGAGTGAAGATATTGGCCTGGGATGGAGATATGGGCCTGGAGTGGAGACATGGGCCTGGAGGTGGAGATATGGGCCTGGAGGTGGAGACATGGGCCTAGAGGTGGATATCTGGGCCTGGAGTGGACATATGGGCCTAGGATGGAGATATGGGCCTGGGTGTGGAGATATGGGCTTGGGGTGGAGATATGGGCCTGGATTGGAGATATGGGTCTAGGGTGGAAATATTGGCCTGGAGTGGAGATATGGGCCTGGAGTGGAGATATGGGCTTGGGGTGGGGATAGGGGCCTGGGGTGCGGATATGGGCCTGCAGGCTGGGTCTCTACACAGCCGACAGCCCTGTTCTTGGGTGCAGGCTGGCACTGAGGGTGAGTTTCCCTTCAGCCCAGCAAGGGCCTGGCTACCAAGACTCACAGCCCAGTGGGGGCAGCAAGGGAGTCCTGGTTTGCCTGCAGATGGATGGTCCATCATGATCTTTCTTTCCAGGGTTCTTCTTGCTGCAGGGGGCCTGGCCACATGAGGGTGAGTCCTTCTCCAAACCTTAGGGTGTCATCTCCCCACATAAGAGGATTTTCCTGAAACAGGAGGGAAGCCCGGTGGGGGATTTTCTTATAAACAAGGATGAGGAGACCCTGGGGTGCTCAGCCCACAGTTCCGACCTTGCCCTCCCCAGCCTTCCTTTCCCTTGGCTGAGTCAGGTTCTGTGGGAACCCGGGAGGGTAGACTGGGGTCCTCCAAGCTGGGCTGTGCGGCTGGGATGTGGTGTCACTGGCAGAGGAAGGGAGCAAAGCAGTGCTAGGAACAGCAGGCCTCTGAGGACAAAGGTGTAACTCACACCCTCCAGCGTTTCCATGACGGTAGGGGCTGCAGTGTGGCTGCTGTCATTCTACCTCAGAGGTGGGGGAACCCCAGCCAGGGCCCTGACCTTCCAAATCCTCTGTTGGGGGCTCAGTTGTGTATTGTGGTTCACACATTGGCTGATATTCCATTCACAAAGAACATGCCCTCGACTCCATGTCTATTTGTGTTGTTTTATGTGAGTAATCTTGCAGGATTAAAATCTAGTAGGAGTCCCTTACTCAGCACTTGCTCAAAGTTCTCAGCTGACACTTTTGTTGTAGAGAGACGCCAAGTCTATGCGGGGTGGGTCCTTCCTGTAGCCCTGGGCACCCAGGTGTGGTAGGAGCCTTAGAAAGTGGAAATGGGAGAATCTTCTGACACGTGGAGGGAGGGGCGGCTCCACATCCTCCTCTCTAAGGTGGCGCCTCCTTCTCCCCCAGGTGGTCAGGACAAGCCCTTCCTCTCTGCCTGGCCCAGCCCTGTGGTGTCTGAAGGAGAACATGTGGCTCTTCAGTGTCGCTCTCGTCTTGGGTTTAACGAATTCAGTCTGTCCAAAGAAGACGGGATGCCTGTCCCTGAGCTCTACAACAGAGTATTCCGAAACACCGTTTTCATAGGCCCTGTGACCCCAGCACATGCAGGGACCTACAGATGTCGGGGTTCACACCCACACTTCCTCACTGGGTGGTCAGCACCCAGCAACCCCCTGGTGATCATGGTCACAGGTCAGAGGGCTCCTGTCTGGGATTCTCCTTGTCCCACCTCCTGAGTCCCAGAGCTTCTGGTGGGAGTGTCCACCAGCGTCCCATCATCCAGACCCTAACTGTATTTGGGGTAAAAGGGGATTGAATACAGGGAAATGGGTGCTGTGGTGGAAAGAATAATTGTCCCCAATGATGACTGCATTCTAATCCCTGCAGTCTGTGACTATTTATGTTATAGGGGAAGGCACTGAAGGGGAAGATGGAGCTCAGGTTGTTGAGTTGACCTTGAGATGGGGAGACAGCCTGGACTGTCCTGCTGGGCTCAGTGTAATCACAAGGGTGCACATGAGAGGAGAAGGAAGAGGGGAGTGGCGATTAGAGCAGTGCAATGGAAGTCTCCATCAGCTTTGAAGGTGGAGGAAGGCCATGAGCCATGAATGCAGGTGGCCTATAGAGGCTGGAAAAGTCAAGGAACTGATTCTCCTGGGTCTCCAGAGGGAACGCAGCCCTGCAGATGCCTTGATTTTAGCCCTCAAAAAACAGGGTCCGATTTCTGTCTCCAGAAACGGAAGGGGTCAGTGTGCTCTCTCCTGCTGCCATGCTTCTGATAATTTTCTACAGCACCAACAGGAAACCAACACTGGAACCCAGGTCAAGGACAAGATAAGAAAGGACACAAGGATAGCCGGGCGTGGTGGCAGGTGCATGTAATCCTAGCAACTCAGGAGGCTGAGGGCAGGAGAATCACTTGAACCCAGGAGACAGAGGTTGCAGTGAGCCTAGACCACACCACTTCACTCCAGCCTGGGTGAAGGAGTGAGACTCTGACTCCAAAATTAATTAATTAATTAAAGAAACCAAACAAAGAGAAGGTTGGCTACACCGAGATCAGCAAGGGTGGGATGATGATGCCACCACCAGGCTCCATCCACATAGGGAGGGGTTGATACTCCTCAAACCAGCACCAGAAGCCAGCCTATGGAAGCTGGCACCATGGAGAAGGCACAGGCATGGCAAGAGTGGCTCCCAGTCCCCACCAGGAACAGGGTGTGTGGACACTGGTGCCTGCCTTACTGATCAGTTCATACCTTCTGCCAAGGATTCCAATTCGTCCAAAAGAGATTGAACCAGTCTGCTAAGAGCCTGGACGTGCAGCCTATCCTGGTTCCTCTTCCACCCCCACATAGAAGCAGGAAAGACATTAGTTCGAAATAGATACAACAGCCCAAGAGATGAGGCTGAGCCCAGCGGCAAGGGAATCAGGAGCTACTAGAGACAGAGGGACAGAGAAGAGGGAGGGAGACAGATGGAAGGACCTGTACCAGGAGTTATGGGCACAGAAAAGAACATGAAGACACAGAGAGGAAGGAGAGAGATAAGACACCAGCGAGGGGAAGCCTCACTCATTCTAGGTGCCATGGATGGGATGATAAAGAGAGATGCCTTCTAAAGTCACAACCTCTCTTCCTAGGAGTCCACAGAAAACCTTCCCTCCTGGCCCACCCAGGTCCCCTGGTGAAATCAGAAGAGACAGTCATCCTGCAATGTTGGTCAGATGTCATGTTTGAGCACTTCCTTCTGCACAGAGAGGGGAAGTTTAATGACACTTTGCGCCTCACTGGAGAGCTCCATGATGGGGTCTCCAAGGCCAACTTCTCCATCGGTCGCATGACGCAAGACCTTGCAGGGACCTACAGATGCTACGGTTCTGTTCCTCATTCCCCCTATCAGTTGTCAGCTCCCAGTGACCCTCTGGACATCGTGATTACAGGTGAGAGTGTCTGGACATTATTCTCATTGTCACTGGGACACAGAGTGAATGATCCACGACTTGGAGGCCCAGGTGGTTATAAGGAAGATGAGCTTGGTATTCTTATGGAGAGAGACTAATTTGGTGAGGTCTGTACCAACAGAGACAGAGAAACAGGAGACACAAGTACAGACCAGGTGTCATAACAGAGGACAGACACAGGGGCCATACAGGGAGTTAGAAAAGACAGAAAGAGTTAAAGGAGACACAGACAGACATGTGCCAGAGAGAGGTGTCCTTCCATGCTGACTTTGCTCAGAGACCTGGCACAGGTTAGAAGTTTCATTTCTGTTTTACTTCCACAAAGTGTTCTCTACCAGAAGAACCCAAGGACACCCATATTTCTGGCCTGAGTTGGGCCCTGTGGCCTCAGGCCTTCTGGCACCTACAGATGCCGTGTTTATTCTGACACCTCTGCCTTCCATGCAATGGAGAGTAATCGTCCCAGGATATCATGGCCCCAGAACATCAACCCCTGTATACTGTGTGAACTTGCGGTCCCCAGACTGGATTCTGAGGCTCACATTCCAAATAACCCCACATATGAGAGGATCACTGAGAGACACAGAGAGAAATCAGGGACACCAAAAAGCAAAGACATAAACACACAGAGAATGAGCCAGAGGAAGGAGATTGAGAGACTCACAGACACATAAAGAGGGAGAAAAGAGGGCAGAGAAGTGGAGAGAACAATGGAAGGGAACAGAGAAAAGCACTAAAATTAGAGTCCTGAGGGAGAGGCACAAGGACATAGAAAGATGGAGATGTGGGGATGAATTGCAGAGATTCCAAAGAGAACTAGAGAGACCGAGAGGCAGAGCAAGACAGATGATAGATGGATAGATATAGATAGATGATAAATAGGTAGATGATAGATAATAGGTTATAGATACATAGATGATGATCGATTCATTCATTGATTAATCGATGATACATAGAGATGATGAAGATGAAGATAGATAGATAATACATAGAGATAGAGAGGCAGACAAAGAGAAATCATAGAGAGAGAGAGATGATACATAGATATAGATAATAGATGATTTTTGGATAGACAATTGATAGATAAATAGATTATATATAGATATAGATGACAGGTAGAGAATTTGTAGATAGGCACCAGATAGATAAATAGATATATCGATAGATAATAGATAGAAATATGCAGAAAGTTATGAACAGGACACAAAGTGAGAAACTCAGAATTTAAAAAAAGTAACATCAAGTCAACTAGTCCAAGGAGAGTCAGAGAGAATAAAACAATCCAAAAAGGGAAAACATATCTAGAGGTGAGAAAGTGAGGTCAGAGACCTAGAGAGACAGAGAAGGTGGAAAGAGGAAATAGACATAAAGAGAGATGGTGTGGAGGGTGAGACAGAGAGAGAGAGCATTAGGCCATAGAGCAGGGGAGTGAGTTCTCAGCTCAGGTGGGAGGGGAGTTGTGACAAGGAAGAACCTCCCTGAGGAAACTGCCTCTTCTCCTTCCAGGTCTATGTGGGAAACCTTCTCTCTCAGCCCAGCCGCGCCCCATGGTTAAGGCAGGAGAGAGCGTGACCTTGTCCTGCAGCTCCCGGAGCTCCTATGACATCTACCATCTATCAAGGGAGGGGGAGGCTCATGAACTTAGGTTCCCTGCAGTGCCCAAGGTCAATGGAACCTTCCAGGCCAACTTTCCTCTGGGCCCTGCCACCCACGGAGGGACCTACAGATGCTTCGGCTCTTTCCGTGACTCTCCCTACGAGTGGTCAGACCTTAGTGACCCACTGCTTGTTTCTGTCACAGGTGAGGAAACCAGTCTGTTCCCCAAATAGTGGGACTCAGATGGACTACAATGGCCACATTCAGGGGAGCCTCAGATGGAGGGGGTGGCCATGGGGGTGTCAGCCAGAGATGCTGGACAGAAGAGACACAAAGCAAACATACAGAAAGAGGCATAGACAGACAGACAGAGCGAGGCAGACAGATCACATTAGGGTTTGGGGTGGTAACTGCAACCCTACCTGAAGCTTGCAGATAGAGCACAGGCCACATAAACCACTTCCCAGTCTTTGTACAGAAGCCCACCTGGGACACATGTAAACAGCATCAATGCTGACTCAGGAGCATGAAAGGCCGGGCTCAGATTGGAAAGACTAGAGGTAGCATTGGCCGCCCGCCATTGCCCATTTCCAGAAGCCCCCACCTCTCACCAAAGAGTGATTTCCACATGGGGGGCACAGATGCAACCATCGTTGGGGGAGCCCCAATGTCTCTTGATGGGAGGCATTTTCCACCCTAGATGTTTTTTGCTCTCTCCACACCTTGGAGACTCAGTGGGGGAGTCTTCTCTGGGGACTCGGGGAGGGCCTCCCTGGGACTCGCAGGATTTCCAAGCTAGATGACAACATGACAGGTGGAAACAGGCCCATTCCTTCGCCAGGGGCCCCAAGCTCCATCCCAGGAGATGAGAAGAGGCTCTTCTCATTGGTCAGTGGATCCCTGAGGGGACAGAGGCTCAGCACTGAAGGCTGAGAAGGATCTGCCACTTCGCTCAGTGGCCTCAAGCCAGACATCTTCCCTACAGACTTGCAGTGATTCTCCATCAGCATTTAGGGCTGTGGCCACCAACCTGGGTGTTGGTCTGTAGGAACTTTTCATTTCTGACCTTCCATAACTGAGTTCTCTTCCTAAATGTGGAATGCCTTGTACTCCATGTTACTCTCTCCCCAGAAAGAATGTGTGGCTTGTCTGCTCTCCAGCCCTGTCATGGAGATTGATAATCCTTAGGGAGCAAGAGGAGAGGGAAAGAACAAAGTATGAGACCACCTAGGTGCTACTGGTTGAGGTTCCATTTGCCAGTGAAGGGACTTCACTCAGCCGAGGGGGCAACTCAGGGAAGTCAG
Organism: Homo sapiens; assembly: GCF_000001405.40. Classification (NCBI taxonomy): domain Eukaryota; kingdom Metazoa; phylum Chordata; class Mammalia; order Primates; family Hominidae; genus Homo; species Homo sapiens. The sequence continues at coordinate 68,785 of NT_187677.1, forward strand.
CCGAGGGAGGGCATTAGAGTAGAGAGAACTGAGCTCACCCAGTAAATGACCCCTTCACTAACTCATTCATCTAATATTTATTTCACACCTACCATCAGTTCTCTCTGTTTCACGGCCAGGAGTAGACAGCACGGCCAAGCTCCTGGGTTCATGATGCTCACATTGCTGTGGGGTGGGAGAGAGAGGCAGAACATGAATGAATGAATGAGAGAATGAATGAATGAGTGAATGATGGAATGAGTGAATGAATGAATGAATGAATGTATGAATTAGTGAGTGAATCCTTAGCACTTGGTGAAAGTGCCATGCACAGAATGAAATGAATGAACGTGGAACGTTGTCATTTGGAGTGTACAGGAGGGAACGTCTCACTGAGACCTCATCAGAGAGATCACATTTAAACTCCGATCTTAGAGACAAGAGGGAGTGAGCCCTGGGGAGTGTGTTGAAAGGAACTTTCATGGACTTAGGACATTGGGGATGACCCTAATGTGAGAATGAGCTTGGTGTGTTCCAAGAAGTCCATGGACCTGCCATATGGTGAGGGCTGGTCAGAATCCAGAGAGATTTCTAAATGCCCTTGTGCTTGTAAGGAAAGTGAGTCCTGTGGTTGGGAGTGGACTTATACCTTGGGTCAGGTCCAGCAATTATCTTTCTAAATCCTCTCTAATTGCCTGAACCACTTCTATCAACAACTGAGAAAAGAGGAGTGTTAAACACCCCACTGTGGCCGTGGATTTGCCTACCTGTCCATTTATTTCCGCGACTCTTCCTCCATGTATATTTGCAGGAATATTACTGGGAGTGGTTAAGTGTAAACTGATTATATATTCCTGGTAAATTTAAAATGCTATAAATTTACCTGCTTTTTTCCTACATTTTATGCTTAATGTTTTCCGCTGATTTTTCCCAAAGACTAATTTTGTCTAATTTTAATATAGTTATACCACATTTCTAACAGTGATTGCTTGGTATATTTCTACATTGTTTAATTTCAAACTCCATGAATTGTTAACATTGAGATGTGTCCTTTGTAAATTTCAAACAATTCGCCTTAGAAAGTAAGACTTTCTGACAATCTTTTGTTCATGTTTGAGCAGTTCTTCCAATCATATTTTTGTTATTATTACGTTGTGTTTTCCTGATTCCCTTTTTTTCCCACTGACTTCTGTGGTTTTCTATTTCAAACATTCTATTTTTGATCTATGTCGTTTAGGAATACATATATGGTGTACTCATCCTGAAGTTGTTACATATTTTTAAAATTGAAATTAATCATTTCAGAGATTAAACTGCAAATATAAAAACATATTTCCACTCTTCCTGTGTAAGAACAGGATTTTAGAGCATATTTAGTACATATGTTTGTATTTACTTATATGATGTTTTGTTTTGTGGTATACATAATTCTATCTTTTTCAGAAATTACACAGGGGCGTGTTTTCATACACTATCGTATGGTCCATATTCATTTTTGGCATAGCCATATTTTTAGTTCTTCCTCTGCTCTTAGTTATTGTCAGAATCTTCGACACCCCATCTGGTTTCACTTTCTTTATCTTTGAGGCACGGTCATCAGAATTTCCTTTAGGGTCAGTGAGAAAAGCTTTCTTTGCCCTTTTGTCTTTCAGTTCTGTTTCTTTCCTGCGTTGATCTTGGACAGTAACTGTACTATGTAAGGAATTGTCGGTGGCTGGCGACGGTATCTTAGCTGGGTAAAGATGCTATTCTACTGGCTTATGTTTTCCTTTTTTCTGTGGGGAAGACAATGCTTGGCTCCCTATAAATCCTTACCAGCTGATCCTTTTCCTCTGGCTAATTTTAAGGGTTGGTTGTGCTTTTATGCTGCTTTTCTGTAATGTTGAACGTGAGGTGTGTTTACTTCATTCTGCCTGGCATTCACTGGATTTCTTGAACCTGTGGATTGATGGATGTGTCTACTTCCTCCAAATAATCAACAATTGCCTCTTTAAAGATTGCTTCTGACCTGTTTTCTCGTTCTTTCTTTTTGGAACTCAAGTTAGGAGCATTCTAAAACTGTTGTCAATTTTTACCCTGTCACAAAACTGCTCTTTCTTGTTTCAGTTATTTGCTTTTTCTGTGCATTAATATTGATGGTTTCCTCTGTCATAGAGGATAAATACTCTCTTCACTGTTGTGTACACAACATTTTAACTAGTTATTCTGGTTTAAATTTAATATTGACTTTATCTACATATCACAATTGATTACTGTGTACAGACTTTCTTTTCTATTAGTATAAATTTATGAGGTACACTTGTAATTTTGTGACATGAGTATGTTGCAGAGTAGTGAAGTCAGGACTTTTACTATATCCATCACCCAAATACCGTACATTGTACTCATTAAGCAAATTCTCATCACTCACCCACGTCCCGCCACCCTCCAGCCTTCTAGCCTCCGCTGTCCGTCATTCCACACTCTACGTCCATATGTACACATTACTCCCCTCCCATGTAGAGTGAGAAGATGTGGTATTTGTCTTTCTGAGTGGTTTTATGTAAAATAATGGCGTCCAGCTCCATCTATGTTGCTGCAAAAGACATGGTTTTATTTTTATGACCAAATAGTATTTCGTTGTGTATACACGCATCCTTTTTTTAATCCAATCATTCATTCACAGACACTTAGATTGATTTCATATCTTTGCTATTGCAAACAGTGCTGCAATAAACATACAGGTGCAGGTATTTTTTGAGTAGATACCCAGCAGCGGGACCCCTAGATCGAATGGTGCTTCTATTTTTGGTTCTCTGCCAAATTTCCATACTGTCTTCCATAGAGGCTATACTAATTTACATACCGGCCAACAGTGTATAAGAGTTTCCTTTTCTCTGCATCCTTGCCAACACCTGTTATATGTTTCACTTTTTCTTTTTTTCTTTTTGAGATGGAGTCTTCCACTGTCACCCAGGCTGGAGTGCAGTGCCGCCATCTCCACGCGCTGCAACCTCCACCAACCAGGTTCAAATGATTCTCCTGCCTCAGCCTCCTGAGTAGCTGGGATTACAGAACCACACCACCATGCCCAGCTAATCTTTTGTATATTTAGTAGAGATGGGGTTTCACTATGTTGGTCAGGCTGGTCTCAAACTCCTGACCTCATGATCCACCCGCCTCAGCTTCCCAAAGTGCTGGGATTACAAGCGTGAGCCACCACTCCCCACCAGCATTTTTAGTAATAGCCATTCTGACTACTGTAAGATGATATCTCATTGTGGTTTCAATTTGCATTTCTCTGATGATTAGTGATGTTCATACGCTGTTTGGCCATTCGTATGTCTTCTTTTGAAAAATGTCTATGTATATCCCTTTGCCCACTTTTTAATGCTATTATTTGAGGGGTTATGTTTAGTTGTTTGAGTTGCCTAGAAATTCTGGATGTTAGTCCTCTGTTGGGTGCATAGTTTGCAAACATTTCCATTCATTCTGTGGGTTGTCTGTTCACCCTGCTACTATTTCCTTTGCTTGGCAGAAGCTCTTTCGTTTATTAAGTCCCATTGGTCTAGTTTTATTTTTATTGCCTGTGCTTTTGAGGTCTTAGTGATGAATTCTTTGCCCAGACCAATGCCCAGAAGAGTTTCTCTTTGGGTTTCCACCGGTGATTTTATAGTTCTGGATTTACATTTAAGCTGCTAATTACCTTAAGTTAATTTATGTGTATGATTACAGATACAGGTCCAGTTTTATTCTTCTGCATATGGCTATTTAGTTTTCCCAGCACCTTTTATTGAAAAGGAAATCTTTCTCCAGTGTATGTTTTGTTAACGTCGTCAATGATTATTCACTGTAGATATGAGGCTGTATTTCTGGGCTCTCTATTCTGGTCTATTGATCTCTGTTTCTGTGTCTATACCAGCACTGTGCTATTTAAGTTACTATAGCCTTAGAGCATAGTTTGAAGTCAGATAGCGTGATGCCTCCAGGTTTCTACATTCACCTAGAATTGCTTTCTCTATTAGGATCTTTTTTGGTTCTGTATGAATTTTAGGATTGCTTTTTCTAATTCTGTGAAAACTGGTGTTACTATTTTCATATAAGAATTGCACTGAATCTGTAGATTGCTTTAGGCAGTATGGTCATTTTAACAATATTAATTCTTATGATCCATGAGCGTGGGATTTTTTTTCTTTTTTTTTTTTTGTATTATCTATAATTGCTTTCATTGGTGTCTTACACCTTTCCTGGTACAGATCTTTCACCACCTTGGTTAAATGTATTCCTGAGTGTTTTAATTTTGCGTATCTATTGTAAACGGCATTGCCTTCTTGATTTGGTTCTCAGCTAGATCATTATAGGTGTAGAGAAATGCTACCGGCTTTTACATATTGATTTTGTATTCTGAAACTTTACTTAGTTCATTTATCAATCATAAGAATTTTTGGCAGGGTCTTTAGGATTTTCTAGATTTAAGATCATAGCATCAGAAATAAAAATAATTTTACTTCCTCTTTTCTAATTTGGATTTTTAATTCTTCCTGTTGCCCAATAGCTCTGACAAGGCTTCCAGTACTATGTTGATAGGAAGTGGTGGATGTCCGTGTCCTTGTCTTGTGCCAGTTCTCAGAGGAGTGCTTTTAACTTTTCCTGTTCAGTATGATGTTGACTCTAGATATGTCATCTATGGCTTTTATTATTTTGAGGTATGTTCTTTCTATGCCTAAGTTTTTGAGGGTTTTCATCAGGTAAGGATGTTGAATTTCTTTTCAGATGCTTTTCTTTATGTCTATTGAGATGATCATATGGTTTTTGTTCTGGATTCTGCTCGTTCTTCTAAGTGGATGAGACATGCCAGAAAAGCATTTAGTCAGCCATCTTGGAAACAAGCATCTCAGATGTTTTCTTTCTCTATAGCTCATTCTTTCTTACCAGTGTTTTCAATTTTGTACTTAATTTTGTAAAGAGAGTAAATGATATAATTTCCACATATGTTTCCTCTGCCAAATCAGACTCACTATGCTTCCTTTCCTTGTATACATAACCTACCCAGCAATACACACAAACATTTATTGCTTTGGAGAATTAGTTTGGGAACATTTTTGAAATGTACAAAAAAATGTATATCTTCAAAAGAAATTTCTTTTTGTGGCAAAAGACTTCTGAAGGTGCTCATGATGATATAGGGAGAAGAGGGGTTCTGGACAGGAAGAATTTTATGAAGGTGAGATGGGGAAATAGCTCCATTTCAGAGCTTCTGGGGAGAGAGGGGCCTGGCCCACATGGAAAGGTCTCTGATCTTACCCCCACCCTCCAGCCCCTGTTCTCCAGAACTATACTGTGGAGAGTTCCATCAGGATTGTTGTGGCTGGTCTGGTCTTCCTGGCTCTTTTGGCAATGCTGGCTAAGACCTGGTGGAGACATGAGGGGCCACAGGTGGAAATGGAAGAAACATGACTGAAGCTGGCTGGAGTGAATGGCGCGACATTCTGTCTGTGGGAGATTGGCCAGATGGGTTTCAAGTGTGTTGTATCAGCTGTGACTTTTAGTAATGTTCTTGCTACCACAATATCCACTCGTCCATCCCGAATAATTGTGATGAAATATTGTCCTTGGGATAATATTCATTTGCTAAAGACAGGGATGATACCTCAAGGTGCCACTATATACATCGAGGGGATCCACAAAAGTCCATTCAGTAAAATGTAGTTGGCATCTTAGGGTAGGTTGATTCCACCTCTAAAAAAGTAGGTACAACATCAGGTTGATTTTTCCGAAGAAAAGTGGTGATTGGCCATCTTTAGTCTCAATGTAAACGGTAATACTGATGAGTGTGGAAAAGGCAGGGAAGAGGATTGACAATAAGTGACACTCATTGTTTTCATCTGAGCTTTGAGACTGAAAGAGGAACACAGGAGTGAGATGTATGGGAACAAACCCCTTCTTTTTCCAGCTAAACAGAGTGGAAGTTGGACACTGAGTTTTGGCGTACAGCAAAATCCTAAGTCCATTGTTGGGTTGAACACGGCCATGTTGTACATCCTGGTTTCACAGCAGACACTGGAGGAAAACAGCCTGTATTCATAAGAGGCTGTCCCTCGGGTCACTGCCCAGAATATCCGGAGTTGGTGCTCACAGGGTTGGGAACTCTCCTGGACCAGACAGGCTCTGGATATGGGGGGGTACCAAGCTCCCCGGGGCCATGCCTCCACAGCTCTCTTCTCACCTCATTCTTGACCATTTCCCAAACCTCTGACCTCACCTTCATTCATCCATGGTGAACACGCTAAAACTGGCCTTCAAAGCTTGAGACAGAGGAAAATTGGGCTTCATCTCTGGGAACTAAATTGGGGAGTGGAGACTCAGTTCTGGCCTGACAGGAGGGAGAAGACCCTGGATCCCAGTGTGGATGGGAAGAAGTATGTGTTTCTCTTTTGTGCTTGGACCCTGTGTCCAAGCATGTCTGAGATGTGATGAAGATGAATCTTCCTTTCCTTGTCTATTTTCTCATGCCAGAGAATTGGAATCTTATATTCCATTAACTCTTTCTGTTCTGTTCATCCAGATTCTATGAAGGAGAAAGGAAAAGATGTGATACTGTAATTTTGCTCCATTTGTCTAAAATGAGTAGGCTGCAACTCCTCTTGAAGTGATACCTTTTCTAGCTCTTGTTGGAGGTGTCTCAGGACTCATTACTTCGGGGAACCTGCAACTGTGTCAGTCTGGGGAAACTGCAAATATTCTTGTCTTACATTTGTCTCCAGCCAATTGTGATGGACTCCAGTGACCTGCAATTGCTGTTATTGCAGGTAAAATGTACCTGAGTCAGGCCACAGTTCTCCTGGACTATGAGCCCCTGGCCATGTTCCTGAGGCAATTCTGTTCATCTAAATATAATAATAATAACACACTAAAAATGGCAAGCCATTGTTAATTCCTGAAGTCTCATTTGAAAATTACTAAATGTCTGTTATTTTTTGGTGTTTACATTATATGTAGACAGATAAACTACACACACACACACACACACACATGCACACAGAAGAATGGATTGTTTCATGTAGAAAAGTAAATAATTCAAGATGAAAGGATGAAATGTCATGGCACCTACTATTCTATTTTAGATAAAGGGTCTATGAAAAGATTGATTTCTTTTTATGTTTTATTTGTTGACATTTGAACACAAACTATGTAAGTGAGGGAGTCGATTTGAAAGGGAGAAGAGCAAGTTCAAACACATTCAGGTGAGGTCATGCTTTACATGTTTTAATTGAAATGATCCATCTTGGGAGTAGATCAATAACTGAGATGGTGCCAGGAATGTTAAAAAGCTTTTGTCAGTCCTAAATATTGACAAATAAAATTTAATTAAAGTCTTAGAAGAAAACACAAAGGAAAACTTCACAACATCGGATTTGGCAGTGATTCTTTAGATGTGACAACAACGGCACAGGCTACTACAGAAAAAATAAACAAGTTAGACTTTATGAAAATTTTGAAATATTGTGACTCAAAAGACAACATCAGTTACTTCACATGGCAAGGAAAAAGAACTTTTAAGACGATATTATCAAAGTAAAAAGACAACCCACAGAATGGGAGAAAATGTTTTCAAACCACACCACCTGTAAGGGATTAACATCCAGAATATACAGACAACTCCTAAAACTCAATCACAATAAACTCAATTCAAAAATGGGCAAAGTACTGAAACAGACATTTCTCCAAAGAACATACGCATGAAAAGATATTCAGCATCACGAATCATTAGGGAAATACTAACTAAAACTACACCAGATGCCATTTCATACCCCTTAGGATGGGTATCATCAAAACAACAACAACAACAACAACAAAGTTTCTATACATTAACAACAAACTATCCAAAAAAGTTTACAAGAAAATAAGCCCATTTGCAATAACTACAGAAAACAAAACATGCAGGAATAAATTCACCCAAGGAGTAGAAAGATCTGTATGCAAAAGCTATAAAACATTGATGAAAAAACTCAAGAAATAAACAAATAAATCGAAAGATATTCCATGTTCACGGATCAGAAGGATTAATGTTGTTAAAATGTCCATTCTATCCAAAGTGATTCAATGCAACCATTATCAAAAATCCAATGACATTTTTTTTACAGAAATAGAAAAAACAGTCCTAAAATTCATGTGGAACCACAAAAGATCTCAAATAACCAAAGCCATCTAGAGGGAAAGGAACAAAGTTGGAAGCATCACATTACCTAAACACAAACTACATTACAAAATTACAGTAATTAAAACAACACAGTACTTGCATAAAAACAGACACATAGACCAATGGAAGTGATTCATAGCCCAGGAAAAAAATGCATGCATTTAGGGTCAAACAATTTTTGGGATGTGTCAAGAACACACAATGGAGAAGGAACAGTCTCTTTAATAAATGGGATTGGGAGACTGCATGTCCACATGCAGAAGAATGGAAGTGGACATTTGCCTCACAAAACATACAAAGTCAACTCAAGATAGATTAATGACTTAAATGTAAGATGAAAGACTATAATCCCAGCAATTTGGGAGGCCAAGGTGGGCAGATCACCTAAGGTCAGGATTCCAAGACCAGCATGGCCAACATGGTGAAATCCCGCCTCTACTAAAAATACAAAAACAGCTGGGTGTGGTTGTGGGTGCCTGTAATCTCAGCTACTCGGGAGGTTGAGACAGGAGAATCACTTGAACCCAGGAGGTAGAGGTTGCAGTGAGCCGAGATCGCACCACTGCACTCCAGCCGGGGCAACACAGTGAGACTCCATCTTAAAAAAAAAAAAAAAACTACTAAAAGAAATCAAGGGAAAACTCCACTGGCTTGGGCAAAACCATTTTGGATATTAACCCAAAGGCCCAGGCAACAAAAGCAAAAGTAGACAAATAACATTATATCAAATTGAAAGTTTCTGCAAAGAAAAAAAAAACTCAACAAGTGGAAAGACAACCTATGGAATGGGAGAATATATTTGCACCCATACATCTAATAAGGAATTAATATCCAAAATATATAAGAAACTCAAACAACTCAATGGTAAGAAATCAAATAACCCAACTTAAAAAAATGGGCAAAGTATCTGAATAAACATTTCTAAGAATAAGACAAATCACCAAAAGGTATATGAAAAAATGATTAGCATTACTAAACATCAGCTAAATAAAAATTAAAACTAGAATGAGATATCACCTCACACCTCTTAGAATGACCATTAACAGTCTGGGCATGGTGGCTCATGCCTGTAATTCAGGCACTTTGGGAGGCCGAGGCAGGGAGATTACCTGAGGTCAGCAGTTCGAAACCAGCCTGGCCAATATGGTGAAACCCCATCCCTACTAAAAATACAAAAATTAGCAGAGTTTGGTGGCGCACACTTGTAGTCCCAGCTACTCTGGAGACTGAGGCAGGGGAATCGCTTGAACCCAGGAGGCAGAGGTTGCAGTACACCGAGATTGTGCCACTGCACTCCAGCCTGGGTGACAGAGCAAGACTGAGTCTCAAAAAAAAAAAAAAAAAAAAGACCATTATCAAAAACATAAAAAATAACAAGGGTTAACGAGGATGTGGAGAAAAGGGAACATTTGTATGCAGTTGATGGGAATGTAAATTAGCACAACCATTATGGAAAACAGTCTGGAAGTTCCTGAAAAAATTAAACATAGAATTCCCATATGTGTCTGCAATCCAACTACTGCGCATGTATCCAAAGGAAGTGGAATCAGTATGTTGAAGAGATATCTGCATTCCCATGTTTACAGCCGCATTATTCATAACAGCCAAGATGTGGAATCACCCTTACTGCCCATCTATGGGTGCATGGACAAAGAAAACGTGGTATACGATAGGAACGTAATGAAGTACTATACAACCTTTACAACAAAGAAGGAAGTCCTCTCATTTGTGACAATGTGAAAAAACTTAGAGGACATTATGTTAAGGGAAACAATCCAGGCACAGAAAGACAAATGCCACATGATCTCATGTGTGGAGTGTAAGAAGTGGAACCTAGAGGAACAGTAAAATGGTCGTCGAAAGAACCTGGGATGGAGAGAGATTGAAGAGATGTTGGTCAAAGGATGCAAAATTTCAGTTAGAAGAAATCGGTTCAAGAGATCTATTGTATGTCTTGGTGACTCCAGTTAATAGCAACATATGGTGTATTGAACATTACTAAGAGATTAGATTTTACATGTTCTCACCACACACACAAAACATACAAGTATGTGAAAAAATAAATATGATAAAGAGGTTGTTTCATCCATTCCACAATGTGTACCTATATGAAAACATCATGATGGACACCACAAATACCCTTTTCCTCATTAATTAAATTTGTTTTGGTTTTTTTTTTGAGATGCAGTTTCACTGTTGTTGCCCAAGCTGAGGTGCAATGGCGTGATCTCCGCTCACTGCAACCTCTGCCTCCCAGGTTCAAGCGGTTCTCCTGACTCAGCCTCCCAAGCAGCTGGGACTACAGTTGCGTACCACCCCGTCCGGCTATATTTGTGTTTCTAGTAGAGACAGGGTTTCGCCATGTTGGCCAGGCTGGTCTCGAACTCCAGACCTCAGGTGATCCACCCGCTTCGCCCTCCCAAAGTGCTAGATTTCAGGCTGAGACACCACACCCAGCCTGTACATTGACTTTCTGCCCTTAAACTGTGCTGAAGTTTGTTTCTCAGATGTAGGAGCCTTTGGGCAGAGACTATGGGGTTTCTAGGTATAGAAATTATCTCATCTTCAAACAGAGGTAATTTGACTACCTCTCTCTGCTACTCTCTTCTTACTTGGATGCCTTATAATTCTTTCTCTTTCCTGATGGCTCTGTCTAGGACTTCAAGTACTATGTTGAATAGGATGGTGAGAGTGGGCATTCTTGTCTTGTTTCACTTATGAAGGGAACTTCTTCCAGCTTTTACTCATTCAGTATGATGTTGGTTGTGGGTTTGTCACAGGCGGCTCTTATTATATTGAGTTATGTTTCTTCAATGCTTAGCTTGTTGAGGGCTTTTAACATGAAGAAATGCTTAGTAAAAAGTATGTTCTACATGTGTGTTGAGAAGATCATGTGGTTTTTGTTTTTAGTTTTGTTTAGGTGATGAATCACATGTATTGATTGTGTATGTTCAACCAACCTTGCACCCTAAGAATAAAGTTGACTTGATCATGGTGGATTCACTTTTTGATATGCTGCGGGATTCAGTTCTTAGTATTTTTTGTGGATTTTTGCCTCTATGTTCATCAGGAATATTGGCATGTAGTTTTCTTTTGTTTAATGTTCTTTTCTGTCTTTAGTATCAGGGTGATGCCAGCCTTATAGAATGAGTAAAGGCCACCCTGGGCAAACAGTGAGACCCATCCCTTTTTAAAAATTATGAGTTTTACAAATTTAAAATGCATAGTGAAAAAGTTCTTACAAACTCCAGAAAGATAGGTGTAAATAAGAGACATTTGTAAGAATGACAGCACATTAAATGTGTAGATTTCAACCTTCAGTTATTGCAATATTCCAGTATCAAGTTGGAGGATGTTATCAGTCTGATATTTTTTCCTCAAATGAGAGAGAGAAAGAAAGACACACAAACAACACAGGGAGAAAAAAAGCACACGTTACAGAGAGACAAAAAGGGAGACAGGGAACTGTGAATTTGGACTCTTGTGTCATAAGACAAATTCTAGATAACACGACCAGACCTTCAATTGACATATTGTGTTTTTGCTAATAAGGTGGAATTCTATGATGCGAAATAACTATATAGTCTTTTCTACTGGGATTTAAATCATTTTATCTGTTTCTGGCTTAACAGGAAAAATACAACCATGGAAAATTATGATGATTTATTTAATACGATTGCTCTATAGTGTTAATAAAACCTATTAGGTATTTTGCATATTACATATCAAGGAGAGTTTGAATCTCAGGTAGAAACAAAAAAAAATACATCAAATTTCCTCATGTGAGTGCAGAATTCAATCGTCCCGTGCAGGGGTAAGTGAGTCTGAGATGTGTTTTGAGCCTGGCCGTTGCGCATGATGTGAAGTGACAAGTCTAGTCTGCAGTTTTCAGAAACCCTCATTCCTCCCTTGACTGATTCACCACTTGAACCTCATATGACGTAGAAGAAGCCTACCTATGTCCCCTTCACATGTTGTGGTCAATGTGTCAACTGCACGATCCGGGCCCCTCACCACATCCTCTGCACCGGTCAGTCGAGCCGAGTCACTGCGTCCTGGCAGCAGAAGCTGCACCATGTCCATGTCACCCACGGTCATCATCCTGGCATGTCTTGGTGAGTCCTGGAAGGGAAGGAGCACCAGGGTTACACTATGGGCCTGCAGATTGGGTGTCTCCCCAGCAGAGAGCCATGTTCTGAAGCAAGTGAGTGGTGAGGATGAGTTAATTTTCAGTCCAGCGTGGCGCCCAGTGGCTCAGGAGGAAAGGGTAGGTTGCTGCCGAGATGAATAGTTCATCATGATCTTTCTTTGCAGGGTTCTTCTTGGACCAGAGTGTGTGGGCACACGTGGGTGAGTCCTTCCCCAAATGATGGGTTGCCATCTTCACCCCAATACAAGTGAATTTTCCAGAAATGGGAGGGAGGCAGCACAGAGGGTGGGCTGATGGGCTGACCATGGGAAGGCCTGGGGGGAGTCTCTCATGAACTAGTAAGAGGAGATCCTGGGAGTCTCTCATGAACTAGTAAGAGGAGATCCTGGGAGTCTCTCATGAACTAGTAAGAGGAGATCCTGGTATGCTCAGCCCTCTGTTTTGTCTTAGCCCTCCCCAGCCTTTCTTCCCCATGGCTGAGTTGAGCTCTGTGTGGCCCAGGCGGGATACTGAGGTGCTCAAAGCTGGGGTGTGTGGGGGGATGTGGTGTCACCGACAGAGGAGGGAAGGGTAGCAGTGTTAGGAACAGCAGGTCCTCTGAGGACAAGAGGGTAACTCACACCCTCCAGCGTTTCCATGACGGTAGGGGCTGCAGTGTGGCTGCTGTCATTCTGCCAGAAGAGGTGGGGGAACCACAGCCACGACCCTGCCATTCCAAATCCTCTGATGGAGCTCAGTTGTTTATTGTGGTTCAGGCATTAGCTAATATTCCATTCACAAAGGTCATACCCTCCACCCCATGTCTACTTTGTGTTCTTTGGTGTAACTAATCTTGCAGTATTAAAATCTAGTAAGAGTCCCTTACTCAGCACCTGCTCAGTTCTCAACTGACACTTTTGTTGTAGGGAGACGCCACGTCTATGCGGGATGGGTCCTTCCTGTAGCCCCAGGCACCCAGGTGTGGTAGGAGCCTTAGAAAGAAGAAATGGGGAGAATCTTCTGAGCACAGGGAGGGAGGGGCAGCTCAACATACTCCTCTCTGAGGCGGCATCTCCTTCTCCCCAAGGTGGTCAGGACAAGCCCTTCTGCTCTGCCTGGCCCAGCGCTGTGGTGCCTCAAGGAGGACACGTGACTCTTCGGTGTCACTATCGTCGTGGGTTTAACATCTTCACGCTGTACAAGAAAGATGGGGTCCCTGTCCCTGAGCTCTACAACAGAATATTCTGGAACAGTTTCCTCATTAGCCCTGTGACCCCAGCACACGCAGGGACCTACAGATGTCGAGGTTTTCACCCGCACTCCCCCACTGAGTGGTCGGCACCCAGCAACCCCCTGGTGATCATGGTCACAGGTCAGAGGGCTCCTGTCTGGGCTTCTCCTTGTCCCACCTCCTGAGTCCCAGAGCTTCTGGTGGGGGTGTCCACCAGAGTCCGATCATCCAGGCCCCAACTATATTTGGGGTAAAGGGGGATTGAATACAGGGGAATGGGTGCTGTGTTGGAAAGAATAACTGTCCCCATCGATGGCCACATTGTAATCCTTGGAGCCTGTGACTATGTTATAGGGCAGGGGACTGAAGGGGAAGATGGAGCTCAGGTTGTTGATGAGTTGACCTTGAGATGGGGAGATGGCCTGGACTCTCCCACTGGGCTCAGTGTAATCACAAGGGTCCATATGAGTGGAGAAGGAAGAGGAGAATGGGGATTAGAGCAGCATCGTGGGATACTCCACCAGCCACTGTGGGCTTTGAAGGTGGAGGAAGACCACGAGCCACGAAGGGGCTGGAGAAATCAATGGAACTGATTCTCCCGAGTCTCCAGAGGGAATGCAGCCCTGCAGATGCCTTGATTGTAGCCCAGGAAGAACAGGGTCTGATTTCTGTCTCCAGAAGTGGAAGGGGTCAGTGTGTTCTCTCCTGCCGCCATGTTTGTGATAATTTTCTCCAGCAACAACAGGAAACCAACACAGGAACCCAGGTGAAGGACAAGTTAAAAAACCAAACAAGAAGGTTGGCTACCCTGAGATCAGCAAGGGTGCACTGCTGATGCCACCACCAGGCTGGAACCACATAGGGAGGGATCGACAGGAAGAGTTGGGGGTGGAGGGTGAGAGAGAGAGAGAGAGCACTAGGCCATAGAGCAGGGCAGTGAGTTCTCAGCTCAGGTGGGAGGGGAGCTGTGACAAGGAAGAACCTCCCTGAGGAAACTGCCTCTTCTCCTTCCAGGTCTATATGAGAAACCTTCGCTTACAGCCCGGCCGGGCCCCACGGTTCGCGCAGGAGAGAACGTGACCTTGTCCTGCAGCTCCCAGAGCTCCTTTGACATCTACCATCTATCCAGGGAGGGGGAAGCCCATGAACTTAGGCTCCCTGCAGTGCCCAGCATCAATGGAACATTCCAGGCCGACTTCCCTCTGGGTCCTGCCACCCACGGAGAGACCTACAGATGCTTCGGCTCTTTCCATGGATCTCCCTACGAGTGGTCAGACCCGAGTGACCCACTGCCTGTTTCTGTCACAGGTGAGGAAAGCCAATGTCTGTCCCATGTCCTATGGTCCTAGAGCCTTAGCTGAGGAGCTTCCTGCTGATGATGGAGAGAAGCATGGACAGATGTGGAGAGAAGATGCAGCATGGTGTGAGGGTGGGATCAGGGCACAGGATGGCAGACAGGGCACCTCCAAACCCTCCTGCATGGCCTGCATGGAAGCTTGCAGTAAGGGCTCCGGGTACCCAGGCAGATGGAGAAAGTGGTCAGGACAGACCCAGAGGAGGGAGACTGGGCTCAGTTTGGGGAGATCAGAGGTTCCCTCAGCCCCTCAACCTTACCCATTTCCCAGAAGCCCACCCTGGCCTCTCACCTACACAGAGATGTCATCACCAGCAACCCCTACACTTTTTCTTTTCCTTTGAAAAAATGCTGATTGAGGTTAAATATACCTATATAATTTATCAACTTTACCATTTTTAAGTGTAAAATCTAGGGATCATAAATACCTTTATATGCTGTGTGCGGTGGCTCATGCCTGTAATCTCAGCATTTTGAGACGCCAAGGCAGGTGGATCATTTAAAATCAGGGGCTGGAGACCAGCCTGGCCAACATGGGGGAACCAATCTTTACTAAAAAGACAAAAAAAATAAAATTAGCCAGGCATGGTGCCAGGCGCCTATAATCCCAGCAACTTGGGAGGCTGAGGCGGGAGAGTGGCTTAAACCCAGGAGGAGGAGGTTGCAGTGAGCTGAGATCATGCCACTGCACTGCAGCCTGGTGACACAGAGAGACTCTGTCTCTAAATAAATAAATAAATACTTTTATATTCTTCTTTTGTTACCCTCCACCCCTTCCTTCCTAACCTCTGGTATCCACCATTCTACTCTCTACCTTCATGAGGTCCACCTTTTACATCCTGCATGTGAGTAAGAAATGGCAATCCTTGTAATGACCTCCAGTCCATCCATGTGGCTGCAAATGACAGGACGTTACTCTTTGTATGGATGAGTTGTCTCCATTGTGTGTATGTACTACTTTCTCTCTATCCATTCATCCACTGATGGGCAGGTAGGTTGACTCCACATCTTGGCTACTGTGAACAGTGCTGGAACAGTCATGGGAGTGCAGATGTCACTTCAATACACTGAAGTCCTTTTCTTTGCATTTACACCCACTAGTGGAATTGCTAGATCCTCTGGATGTTCTCTTTTTAGGTTTTGTTTTATGCTTTTTGTTTTTTTGACATAGCGTTTCACTCTTGTTGCCCAAGCTGGAGTGCAATGGCACCACCTGGGCTCACTGCAACCTCTACCTCCAGGATTCAAGTGATTCTCCAGCCTCAGCCTCCCGAGTAGTTGGGATTACTGGTGCCCGCCACCACGCCTGGCTGATTTTTGTATTTTTAGTAGAGACGGGGTTTCACCATGTTAGCCAGGCTGGTCTCGAACTCTTGACCTCCAGTGATCTGCCCACTTCAGCCTCCCAAGGTGCTGGGATTACAAGCGTGAGACACAGTGCCTAATCTCTTTTTAGTTTTTAAGGAACTTCCATATTCTTCTCCTCTGTAATGGCTGTATTAATTTACATTCCTATCAACAGTGTATTAGGGTTCTCCTTTCTCCACCACCTTGCCAACATTTGTTTTGTCTGTCTCTGAGATAAAACCCATTGTAATGGGGTGAGATGATAGCTCATTGTGACTTCATTTGCATTTCTCTGATGATTAGTGATACTGAGCACTTTTTCATATATGCAATGTATATATGTTCATTTGTATGTTTTGTTCATTGAGAAATGTCTGTTCAGGTCTTTTACTAATTTTATAATTAAATTATTAGTTTTATTGAGGTGTTTGAGCTTCTTTTATATTCTAGTTATTAATCCCATCTCAGATGCATAGTTTGCAAATATTTGCTCCCATTCTGTGGGTTGTCTCTTCTTCACTTCATTGGTTGCTTCCTTTGCGGTGCAGAAGCTGCTTGATTTGATATAATCCCAATGGTCTATTTTTTTGTTGTTGTTGTGATTACTTGTGTTTTTGAGGTTTTAAACAAAATGTCTTCCCTCAGACAAATGTCCTGGAGCATTTCTCCAGTGTTTCCTTTTAGACATTTAATGGATTCAGGTCTTAAGTCATTAATCCATTTTCATCTGATTTTTGTGTATGGTGAGAGGTAGAGGTGCAGTTTCATCCCTCTGCATGTAGATATCCAGTTTTCCCTGCACCATTTATTGAAATGACTGTCCTTTCCAGATTGTAGATTCTTCGAACCTTTGTCAAAGTCCATTGGATGTAAATGGGTGGATTACATCCGTGTTCTGCATTCTGCTCCATTGTTTTATGTGCTTTTCTTTATGCCAATGTCATGTTGTTTTGCTTACTACAGCTCTGTAACATATTTTTAAGTCAGGTAGTGTGATGCTCCTGTTTTCTCCTTATACCTTGAAGTCTCAAGATAGTTGGTGTCACCTACAATGATTATGGAGAATGGGATGCCAGGACTCCCAGGGCCCAACATTAGATAATAGAATGTTGGCCATGAACCAACCTCAAAGATTTCCATTGAGTAGAAGACAGGCATCCTCATTGCCACACCTCTCTCCTGTCCCGTGTTCTAGGAAACCCTTCTAGTAGTTGGCCTTCACCCACTGAACCAAGCTTCAAAACTGGTAAGTGAAGGACCCCTCTTATCTCTGCTTTTGGAAACCTGGGGAGGTAGAAGCCTTGGATTCAAGCGTTGGCTCAGCACCTGCCAGCTCTGTGATTGTGGGCCTGTCTTCCATTGTCTCTGAACCCCAGACACTCCAACAGCGAAAGGGATCTGGGCCCAGCACAGGGCTCAGTGAAATCTCTTAATCTCTAATTTTCTGCTGCTGAGACCTCAGGGTAGAAGGATGAGTGCAAATCAGACATTCTTCTCAGGAAAAATGCTGTGTTTGTTCTGCCTGCATTCCTAACTGGGAGGACAAATGCCTGGGGGCTTGAGAAGGGGAAGGAAGGGGAACATTTTTGAGGGTGGTGTATTTGTAGAGAAGTTCTACTTGCCAAGGAATGAGCTCCTGTCTGTCATGATCCAACCCTGGTTGACTTAGTGGAACAAGAGCTTTGCGGTAAGAGAGAACGTAGTTCATCCGTGCACATGACACTTCCACTTACTCGTTCAGCCACTGCCCCATGCTCAGACTGTGCAGTGTGGAACCTTTTCCTATGTTGCCATAACAAATTTCCACAAGCTTCGTGGATGGAAACCACATTTTTAAAAAATATCTCATGGTGCTGTAGCTCAGAAGTATGAAATGCATCATCTCACTGGGCTAAAATCAAGGTGACAGCAAGGCTGCCTTCCCTCTGAATGTTCCAGGCAAGAATCTGCTTCCTCACTTTTCCCAGCTCCTAGAGGCTCCCACATTCCTTGGCTCCTGGTCCCCGTCTTCCTCCCTCAAAGTCCACAAAGGCTGGTCACGCCTCTCACACGGCATCACTCAGACCCTTCTTCCTTGTCCACACCTCTTTCTCTGAATGCTGCTCTGCCTTCTTCCTCATCTTTTAAGGACTTTGGCATTCTATTGGAAACACCAAGATAATCCATCATAATTTCCCTAAAATCATCTAGGATACCCTCCTTTTAAGGTTAGCTGATTAGCAACCGTAATTCCATCTGCAATCTGCATTCCTTTTTTCCATGTAAAATAACATATTCACAAGATATGGCGACTAGGACAGGAATATTTTGGGGTGGGGCGGCATTCTTATCCTTTCCACAAATGGTAAACAAGGTGCATTTGGCCTCTGCTCTTGGACACTGATATTGCAAAGGATTAAATGGGAGGGCAGAAAATGAATGCACCAGTGGACCAATAAATGAATGATCCATTGGGAAGCATCTGTGCATGAGAATGATTGATTGATTGGTTGTTTTTATGAGACAGTGTCTCCCTCTGTGCCCCAGGCTGGAGTGCAGTGGCGGGATCTCGGCTCACCGCAACCTCCACCTCCCAGGTTAAAGCGATTCTCTACACTCAGCTTCCCGAGAGGCTGGGATTACACCCATGTCCCACCACGCCTGGCTAATTTTTTTTTGGTATTTTTTTTTAGTACAGACAAGGTTTTACCATGTTGCCCAGGCTATCTCAAACTCCCAACCTTAAGGGATCCGCCCGTCTCAGCCTCCCAAAGTGCTGAGATTAGAGGCGTGAGCCAAGGCGCCGAGCCGTATTTTAAAAGAAATAATAGATAATGCTGAGTGTATAATTTCGGGTGACAGAGAAGTTCTCACTGATCAAATAATACTTGTGACCTTAATGAAAAAAATAGATCAACCCCTGGAAGATTGGCGGAAGGATTTTCCACACAGCTGTCAGCCGTGAAGGCACAAAGGTGAAAACAATGTTATGTGGAAGGAAGAGGCTCTGCCTGAAATGCTGGGAATGACATGGGGAGAATGACAAGACGACTGTGGAGAGACAGAGAGCACACTGGGTACACAGGAAACTAAGGAGCAACAAGGAGCGTGTGTTTGATACTCACAGCCATTGGACTTACCTCGGGGCTAACTGGGAATCCCTACATGATGAATAGTGACTGACATGAAAATAAGGGAGGCCCAGGTGCATAACTGGAATCTAGGAGACTGTGGAAAAGGCAATTCCCGCCCCCCTGGTGAAATGTGGTGCTGATTTAGACACTAAATGAATGAAAGATGGACACAAGATGTGTTTGTGAGGTAGAGTAATTTGCAGGGAGGGCTTGCCTGGTTTGATTTTTCCTAATTGTTTAATCTTCACTTCATTGATTTCTTTCTGAGATTTATTTTTCCTACATGTAAATCAATACTTGGCAGAGGAGTGAGAGATACATGAGGGGTGGTGCAAAGGAAGAGACCTATTATAATATAACACACAAGGTTCTGAACGGTGGCTCACACCTGTAACCCAACATTTTGGGAGGCTGAGGAGGCTGGATCAAGTGAGATCAGGAGTTCGAGATCAGCCTGGACAACATGGTGAAACCCCATCTCTACTAAATATACAAAAACTAGCTGGGGGTGGTGGCGCGTGCCTGTAATACCAGCTATTCGGGAAGTTGAAGAAGGAGAATGGCTTCAACCAGGGAGGGAGAGGTTACAGTGAGCCAAGATCGCGTCATTGCACTGCACCCTAGGTGACAGAGTGAGACTCCATGGCAAAAAATAAAAATAAAGAATACATAAATATAATATAACATACACGAATGACAAAGGCACACCAATTCCAATCATCATTTTTCTATTTCTCTATAATGACTTCTTTGATCCTTTATCCTATCCGTAAGAAAATCAGGCGAAAACATCTTCCTTATTTGGCTTTCTGTGAGCATGAGATCATATGGAAAATGTGAAACCCACCAGCACAGGTCCTGGAATAGAGAACGTGATCTGTTCATGGCACAAAACTTGCCCCTTCACCCAAATCCCCCACCTCACCCCTACTTCCAATCACATTAATGATACAGATAGATCATGGGGAGGTAAAAACTAATATTCTTTGGAGTTCAGATCGTAGACTCAGAGACCAGTGCCAGCACTATCTCCTGGTCACCTTTTGGAGTAATTCACAGAAAGACAGGCTGTATTGAAGCAACAGATGATGGAGGGGGTGGTCTTTCCCCCAGACTCTCGGGTGGAACAGCAGCCTAATATCTGACTCCCAAGATGACAAAAGTAGCATGTTGCCCACGAGCTTCATCATTATTTCCTGGCTGTTTGATATAAGACAGCTCAACCTCACTTATGTTGATTTCAATGTCACTGTTTTTTCCTTTTCTTGGAGAATGTAATTTGTTTGAGTCAAGAGGGTTGTGGATGTAGAAACTGTAAAGCACATTCACTGTGTATCAATCCCAGTCCAGTCTTCCCAGAGAAGACTCTAAACACCTCCCATACTGCACCTGGGGCTGTGCCAATTTCTATCACTCACCATCACTCCAGGGAGACAGAACACACAGGGAATACATTACATAGGCAGGTTCATTACTTATAGATAAGCAGCGAGTGACAACAGAAACCTTCCTTTCAGGGTGAGCCAGTCCCTCAAGGCTCAGAAAAACTGCTCAGGACACATGGAGTCACTTCATGTGCACTGTAGCTGGGGGAAGCCAGAAAGCAGCCCAGCCTGGGTTTTGTACCCTGGAGCCACAGGGAACACTCAGCTAAAGCACTGCATGATGTTCTCCTCCAGGAAGAACAGGAAGACAGCCCAGGCTGTTCTGAGACGTTCCTCCTGATCTCAGGATGTTGCTGTCTTAGCCTATTTTTGTTGCTATAAAAGAACACTTGAGCCTGGGTATCTTCTAAAGAAAAGAGATGTGTTTGGCTCACTGATCTGCACGCTGTACTAGAAGCAGGACACTACCATCTATTTCTGGCTGCGGCCTCAGGCTGCTCCCACACTGACAGAAGAGAAGGGGGTCCTGCGTGTGCAGAGACCACAGAGATCACATGGCAAGAGAGGGAGAAAGGGGGTGTGATGGAGCTTCCAAGCTCTTTTTAAGAATCAACTCTCCAGGGTACTAATAGAGGGAGAACTTGCTAACCCCGTCCTCTGGGGACAGCATTAATCTATTCATGATGGATCCACCCCCATGACCAAAACACCCCTCCCAATAGGCACAACTCCCACACTGGGGATTAAATTTCAAAGTGGGGTTTGGAGGGGTCAAACATTGAAACAATAGCAGTTGTATCATCAGCACATTCTATTGTTATTATGAAAACTATAACGGAGAAAGCAGGAGAAAGCTGGGTCTCCCGCCTCGTGGGTGCTTGTCTTAAAGAGGTGTTTTATGTGGTTGCCTGGCAACCAAGAAATGAGAGACAATCCACAAAGAGGAACTGCTATGGTTAGCTTCTTATTGGATTCCCATCTTCCTCCAGGTATCGCCAGACACCTGCATGCTGTGATTAGGTACTCAGTGGCCATCATCCTCTTTACCATCCTTCCCTTCTTTCTCCTTCATCGCTGGTGCTCCAAAAAAAAAGTAAGCCTCACGAAGCAGAGGCCAGAGAACTCAGGGCCCTGTGCGGAAGCAGGATGGGAGCACGCAGGTGTGTGTTCCTCACTGGCAGGAAAGTCTCTGGCCCAAGGCAGGAGCCAGAGGCAGAGCTTTCTAGAGAGAGCACCAGACACCCTGCCCCTGCCTTCAGCTCACAGACCGTTGCCTGATTGTGAACTGTATCCTCACGTCCCCTGCAGCCACTCACATCCAGGAGAAGATTCCATGACAGGCAGAAAGTGGGAGATAGAATCAATGGGATGGGAACTGACAGCTATTCATGGAATGGGGTCTTGCACTCAGAGAGATGGAATGTCTGAGTCTGGCTGTTGGCAGCTGAGGGACCTCAGGCACCTATGGCCTCCCCCTGTGTGTTGGTATCTGTTCATGAAATGAGGACCCAGAAGTGCCCTCCCAGCTGTTTTGATTGCTTCCGTCTCCTACAGATGCTGCTGTAATGAACCAAGAGCCTGCGGGACACAGAACAGTGAACAGGGAGGTAGGTCCTCCTAGCCCAGCCTCATGGATACAGTCTTATTCCGAAATAGTCCTGAAAAATGTGAACACCCTCCCTCACTCAGGATTTCCCTCTCTCCAGGACTCTGATGAACAAGACCCTCAGGAGGTGACATACGCACAGTTGGATCACTGCATTTTCACACAGAGAAAAATCACTGGCCCTTCTCAGAGGAGCAAGAGACCCTCAACAGATACCAGCGTGTGTATAGAACTTCCAAATGCTGAGCCCAGAGCGTTGTCTCCTGCCCATGAGCACCACAGTCAGGCCTTGATGGGATCTTCTAGGGAGACAACAGCCCTGTCTCAAACCCAGCTTGCCAGCTCTAATGTACCAGCAGCTGGAATCTGAAGGCGTGAGTCTCCATCTTAGAGCATCACTCTTCCTCACACCACAAATCTGGTGCCTGTCTCTTGCTTACCAATGTCTAAGGTCCCCACTGCCTGCTGCAGAGAAAACACACTCCTTTGCTTAGCCCACAATTCTCTATTTCACTTGACCCCTGCCCACCTCTCCAACCTAACTGGCTTACTTCCTAGTCTACTTGAGGCTGCAATCACACTGAGGAACTCACAATTCCAAACATACAAGAGGCTCTCTCTTAACACGGCACTTAGACACGTGCTGTTCCACCTTCCCTCGTGCTGTTCCACCTTTCCTCAGACTATTTTTCAGCCTTCTGGCATCAGCAAACCTTATAAAATTTTTTTGATTTCAGTGTAGTTCTCTCCTCTTCAAATAAACATGTCTGCCTTCATTCTTTAGGTGACTCTTTTTTTGGCTGAAAGTTTCCAGTGTTATCATTACCATGTCCAAATAACTCCAACTGTTCTCCACTGGGTTCTCACCCCTGGACTTGGAGCTTCTGGAAGCAGGGTGGAGCCTGATTTGTCTCTGAGACTCCAATTTCCATCCAAAGATGCAGCACATAAGAGGTTCCAAGGATCGTGAATCACATGAACAAGTGATATTCTTACTCTCTGCAGACCTGGAAAGCTGGCAGAGTCATTCCATGATGAAACATTTGTAGAGTCATAGGCCTTGTTAGTCTCATCTCCACGGGGACACATATCAACACATCATCTTTCATACTATAAATATACAGTCGGTCCTCTGTATCTGTGGGATTTACAGGTGTTTATTGAACCAAATATAAATCAAAAATATTCAGAGAAAAAATCCACAAAGTTTCAAAAAGCAAAACTATGTTGAATGGACACAAATGAAGCTGTGTGTAGGCTGTATCAGGAATTATAAATAATCAAGGGATGATTTCATGTACACAGGAGGATGTGCATGGGTTATTTGCAAATGCTGTGCCATTTCATGTAAGAGGCTTGAGCGTCTGCAGATTGTGCTATCTGAGTGGAGATCCTGAAACCAATCACCCACGAATAGTGAGGGATGACTGTATATAATTTTTATTTCTCAATTTTAAATATAAAACATAAAAAAATTACAATAACAAGATAAAATAAACAAGTGTTTTATAGTGTGAGAATACGTTTAGATATATTTTTCTCTATGTGTAACCCTTGGGCCCATGTTATTTATTGAGAAGACATTCTATTCCACCTTAAACCACATGGCAGCCTTTGTCAACTATAAAGGGACTGTGTGTACACGGATGTATTTTAGACACTGTTTTCTGCTCAGTGGCTCTCTCTCTGTCCACTCTCTTGAGAATGCTGCATTTTATGCAGCCTTATACAACCCCTAAAATTTGGTAGCTGGAGTCCTCTAGTTATTTATTATAGGCTATTTGCTATGCTTTTTTTATTTTTCTTGAGGCAGAGTCTCGCTCTGTTGCCCAGGCTGGAGTGCAGTGGCACGATCTCGGCTCACTGCAACTTCCGCCTCCCAGGTTCAAGGGATTCCGTGCCTCAGCCTCTTGAATAGCTGGCATTACAAGTGCCTGCTACCAGGCATGGCTAATTTTTGTATTTTTAGCAGAGACATGGTTTCACTATATTGGCCAGGCTGGTCTCAAACTCCTGACCTCGGTTGATCACTCACCTCGGCTTCCAAAGTGCTGGGGAAATTGATTTTCTATAGCATTATGTTACTGGATATTTCTGTAAAATTTAAAATGAGGGAGGCAGAGAGACAGAGAGAGAGCAAACCATGAGTTGGAACTCTGGAATCTTGGGACATGAGACAAATTCTAGATAAATCTACAAAAATCCAGAATTTACATGTTGTGATTTTTGCTGATAAAGTACAATTCTAAGATTGTAAATAATTGCATAATCCTTCCCTGGGAGTTTAAATCATTTGAACTGGTTCTGCTGTAATACTAGAAATACAATCATGAAAAATTCTAATGGTTTATTGTCACAATTGCTCTGAAAACCTTAATAATACCTATTAGATATTTTGCATATTACACAGGAAGAAGAGTTTGAATCTCAGATAAAAACAATAAAAATACATGAAAAGTCTTTCATGTTAGCACAGATTTTAGGCATCTCGTGTTCGGGAGGTTGGATCTGAGACGTGTTTTGAGTTGGTCATAGTGAAGGACGCGAGGTGTCAATTCTAGTGAGAGCAATTTCCAGGAAGCCATGTTCCGCTCTTGAGCGAGCACCCACTGGGCCTCATGCAAGGTAGAAAGAGCCTGCGTACGTCACCCTCCCATGATGTGGTCAACATGTAAACTGCATGGGCAGGGCGCCAAATAACATCCTGTGCGCTGCTGAGCTGAGCTGGGGCGCAGCCGCCTGTCTGCACCGGCAGCACCATGTCGCTCATGGTCGTCAGCATGGCGTGTGTTGGTGAGTCCTGGAAGGGAATCGAGGGAGGGAGTGCGGGGATGGAGATCTGGACCTGGAGGTAAAGATATGGGCCTAGAGGTGGAGTTATGGGCCTAGAGGTGGAGTTATGGGCCTGAAGTGGAGATCTGGGCCTGGAGTGGAGATCTGGGCCTGGAGTGGAGATAGGGGCCTGGGGTGGAGATATGTGCCTGGAGTGGAGATCTGGGCCTGGAGTGGAGATATGGGCCTGGGGTGGAGATATGTGCCTGGGGTGGAGAGATGGGCCTGGAGGGGAGATATGGGCCTGGAGGGGAGATGTGGGCCTAGAGGTGGAGTGATGGGCCTAGAAGTGGAGCGATGGGCCTGGAGTGGAGATATGGGCCTGGAGGTGGAGTTATGGGCCTGCAGTAGAGATATGGGCCTGAAGTGGAGATATGGGCCTGGAGTGGAGATATGGGCCTAGAGGTGGAGTTATGGGCCCGGAGGTGGAGTTAAGGGCATGAAGTGGAGATCTGGGCCTGGAGTGGAGATATGATCCTGGAGTGGAGATATGGGCCTGGGGTGGAGATACGGGCCTGGAGCAGACATACAAGCCTGGAAAGGAGATATGGGCCTGGAGAGGAGATAGAAGCCTGGAGTGGAAATATGGGCCTGGAGTGGAGATATGAGCCTGGAGTGGATATATGAGCCTGGAGTTGAGATAGGAGCCTGGAGTGGAGATATGGGCCTGGAGTGGACTTACCAGCCTGGAGAGGAGATATGGGCCTGGAGTGGAGATACGGACCTGGAGTGGAGATCTGGGCCTGTTGTGTAGATCTAGGCCTGGAGGTAGAGATCTGGGCCTGGAGGCTCAGTCTCTGCACAGCCGAGATCCTTGTTCCTGGGGGCAGGTAGGCAGCGAGGGTGAGTTTACCTTCAGCCCAGCAAGGGCCTGGCTGCCAAGACGCACAGCCCAGTGGGGGCAGCAGGGTGCCCTGGTTTGCCTGCAGAGGGATGGTCCATCATGATCTTTCTTTCTAGGGTTGTTCTTGGTCCAGAGGGCCGGTCCACACATGGGTGAGTCCTTCCCCAAACCTTAGGGTGTCATCTCCCCACATAAGAGGATTTTCCTGAAATGGGAGGGAAGTCCTGTCGGGGAGTCTCTCATACACTAGGAAGAGGGGACCCTCGGATGCTCGGCCCACATTTCTGACCTTGCCTTCCCCGGCCTTTCATTCCCTTTCCTGAGTCAAGCTCTGTGAAGACTGGGGTGAGACTAGGGTGCTCCAAGATGGGTGTGCAGGGAGGAAGTGGTGTCAGCAGCAGAGAAAGAGAGGGAAGCAGTGCTAGGAACAGCAGGTCCTCTGAGGACAAAGGTGTAACTCACACCCTCCAGCGTTTCCGTGATGGTAGGGGCTGCAGTGTGGCTGCGGTCTTTCTACCAGAAAAGGTGAGGAAACCACAGCCATGGCCCTGACATTCCAAATCCTCTGATGGGGGCTCAGTTCATCAATTGGCTGATATTCCATTCACATAGGACTTGCCCTCCATGCCGTGTCTACTTTGTGTTGTTTTATATGAGTAATTTTGCAGTATTAAAATCTAGTAAGAGTTGCTTCTCCAGCAACTTGCTCAAAGTTCTCAGCTGACACTTGTTGTAGGGAGACGCCAAGTCTATGCAGGATGGGTCCTTCCTGTAGCCCTGGGCACCCAGGTGTGGTAGGAGCCTTAGAAAGTGGAAATGGGGAGAATCTTCTGGGCACTGGGAGTGAGGGGCGGCTCCACATCCTCCTCTCTAAGGCAGTGCCTCCTTCTCCCCCAGGTGGTCAGGACAAACCCTTCCTGTCTGCCTGGCCCAGCGCTGTGGTGCCTCGAGGAGGACACGTGACTCTTCGGTGTCACTATCGTCATAGGTTTAACAATTTCATGCTATACAAAGAAGACAGAATCCACATTCCCATCTTCCATGGCAGAATATTCCAGGAGAGCTTCAACATGAGCCCTGTGACCACAGCACATGCAGGGAACTACACATGTCGGGGTTCACACCCACACTCCCCCACTGGGTGGTCGGCACCCAGCAACCCCGTGGTGATCATGGTCACAGGTCAGAGGCTTTCCGTCTGGGCTTCTCACTGTCCCACCTCCTGAATCCCAGAGCTTCTGGTGGGGGTGTCCGTCAGGGTCCCATCACCCAGGCCCTGACTGTATTTGGGGTCAAGGGAGATTGAATACAGGGGAAATGGGTGCTGTGGTGGGAAGAATCACTGTCCCCAATGATGGCTACATTGTAATCCCTGGAGCCTGTGACTATTTATGTTACAGGGCAGGGGACTGAAGGGGAAGGTGGAGCTCAGGTTGTTGATGAGTTGACCTTGAGATGGGGAGACAGCCTGGACTGTCCCACTGGGCTCAGTGTAATCACAAGGGTCCACATGAGAGGTGGAGGAAGAGGGGAGTGGGGATTAGAGCAGTGTAGTGGGAGGGAGACGCTATCAGCCACTGCGGGCTTTGAAGGTGGAGGAAGACCACTAGTCACAGAATGCAGGTGGCCTCTAAGGGCTGGAGAAGTCAAGAGAACTGATTCGCTGATTCTCCAGAGGGAACGCAGCCCTGTAGACACCTTGATTTCAGCACAGGGAGAACTGGATCCAATTTCTGTCTCCAGAAGTGGAAGGGGTCAGTGTGTTCTCTCCCGCTGCCATGTTTGTGGTAATTTTCTGCAGCAGCAACAGGAAACCAACACAGGAACCCAGGTCAAGGACAAGTTAGGAAACCAAACAAGGATAGCCAGATGTGGTGGTGGGCACGAGTAATCCAACGACTGGGGAGGCTGAGGCAAGAGAATCACTTGAACTGGGGATTTGTTCAAAAGAGATTGATTCAGGCTGCTAAGAGCCTGGACATGCAGCCTGTCCTCTTCCACCCCCACATAGACAGCAGGAAAGAGATTAGTGGGAAACAGATACAACAGCCCAAGAGATGAGGCTGTCTTCACAGTGGCAAGGGAGTCAGGGGCTACTGGAGACAGAGGGACAGAGAAGAGGGAGGAAGACAGATGGAGGCACCTGCACCAGGGGATATGGGCACAGAAAAGACACGGAGATGCAGAGAGGGAGGAGAGAGACAGACACGGGGAGGGGAACCCTCACTCATTCCAGGTGCCATGGATGGGATGATAAAGAGAGATGCCTTCTAAACTCACAACTTCTCTTTCTAGGAAACCACAGAAAACCTTCCCTCCTGGCCCACCCAGGTCCCCTGGTGAAATCAGGAGAGAGAGTCATCCTGCAATGTTGGTCAGATATCATGTTTGAGCACTTCTTTCTGCACAAAGAGGGGATCTCTAAGGACCCCTCACGCCTCGTTGGACAGATCCATGATGGGGTCTCCAAGGCCAATTTCTCCATCGGTCCCATGATGCTTGCCCTTGCAGGGACCTACAGATGCTACGGTTCTGTTACTCACACCCCCTATCAGTTGTCAGCTCCCAGTGATCCCCTGGACATCGTGGTCACAGGTGAGAGTGTCTAGACATTGTTCTCATTGTCACTGGGACACAGAGTGAATGATCCAGGACTTGGAACCCCCAGGTGGTCATGAGGAAGATAAGTGTGGGATTCTTATGGAAAGAGAGTGACTTGGTGAGGTCTGTACCAACAGAGACAGAGAAACAGGAGACATAAGTACAGAACAGGTGTCATAACAGAGGACAGACACAGGGGCCATACAGGGAGGTAGAAAAGAGAGAAAGAGGTAAAGGAGACACTCAGACAGACAGACATGTCCCAGAGAGAGGTGTCCTTCCATGCTGACTTTGCTCAGAGACCTGGCACAGGTTAGAAGTTTCATTTCTGTTTTACCTCCACAAAGTGTTCCTACCAGAAGAACCCAAGGACACCCATATTTCTGACCTGAGTTGGGCCCTGTGGCCTCAGGCCTTGTGCCACCTACAGATGCCGTGTTTATTCTGACACCTCTGCCTTCCATGCAATGGAGAGTAATCATCCCAGGATATCATGGCCCCTGAACACCAACCCCTGTATGCTGTGTGAACTTGGGGTCCCCAGACTGGATTCTGAGGCTCATATTCCAAATAATCCCACATATGATAGGATCGCTGAGAGACACAGAGAAAAATCAGGGACACCAAAAAGCAAAGACATAAACACACACAAAATGAGCCAGAAGAAGGAGATTAAGAGATTCACAGACACATAAAAAGAAAGAAAAGAGGGCAGAATGGAGAGAATGATGGAAAGGAGGAGAGAAAAGCCCCAAAATCAGAACCCTGAGGGAGGGACACAAAGACAGAGAAAGATAAATATGTGGGGATGGATTGCAGAGATTCCAAATAGAACTAGAGAGACTGAGAGGCAGAGAAAGACAAGGAGACGGAGAGAGAGAGATGATAGATGGATAGATAGACGTAGATAGATGATAAATAGGTAGATGATAGATAATGGATTGGTTATAGATACATAGATGATGACTGATAGATGATACATAGAGATGACGATGATGATGATAGACACATAGATATATACATAGATGATACATAAATAGAGACAGAGAGGCAGACAGAGAGGTAATAGAGAGAGAGATAGATGATACATATATAGATAATAGATGATTGATGGATAGATAGACAGACAGACAATTGATAGAGAGATAGATAAGTGATACATAAATATAGATGATAGATAATTTGTAGATAGACACAAAATAGATAAATAGATAGAAATGTGCAGAAAGTTATGAACAAGACAGAAAGTGAGAGACTCAAAATTAAAGAAAAAGGAAGATCAAGTCAACCAATCCAAGGAGGGTCAGAGAGAATAAAACAATCCAAAAAGGGAAAACATACCTCAGGGTGGGGAAGTGAGGTCATAGACCTAGAGAGACAGAAAAGGTAGAAGGAGGAAACAGATATGAAGAGAGATGGGGTGGAGGGTGAGAGAGAGAGAGAGAGCATTAGGTCATAGAGCAGGGGAGTGAGTTCTCAGCTCAGGTATGAGGGGAGCTATGACAAGGAAGAACCTCCCTGAGGAAACTGCCTCTTCTCCTTCCAGGTCCATATGAGAAACCTTCTCTCTCAGCCCAGCCGGGCCCCAAGGTTCAGGCAGGAGAGAGCGTGACCTTGTCCTGTAGCTCCCGGAGCTCCTATGACATGTACCATCTATCCAGGGAGGGGGGAGCCCATGAACGTAGGCTCCCTGCAGTGCGCAAGGTCAACAGAACATTCCAGGCAGATTTCCCTCTGGGCCCTGCCACCCACGGAGGGACCTACAGATGCTTCGGCTCTTTCCGTCACTCTCCCTACGAGTGGTCAGACCCGAGTGACCCACTGCTTGTTTCTGTCACAGGTGAGAAAAGCCCATATCTCTCTCATGTCCTATGATCCTAAATCCTTAGCTAAGGAGCTTCCTGCTGATGATGGAGAAAAGCATGGACAGATGCAGAGAGAAGACACAGCAGGTGTGAGGGCGGAGTCAGGGCGCAGGATGGCAGACAGGGCACCTCCAAACCCTCCTTCATGGCCTGCATGGAGGCCTCCGATCAGGGCTCCAGGCACCCAGGCAGATGGAGAAAGCGGTCAGGACAGACCCAGAGAAGGGGAGACTGGGCTTAGTTTGGGGAGATCAGAGGTTCCCTCAGCCCCTCAATCTTATCCATTTCCCAGAAGCCCATCATGGCCTCTCACCCACACAGAGAGATATCATCACCAGCAACCCCTACACCCTTTTCTTTTCATTTTCAAAAATATTTATTGAGGTTAAATGTAACTATATAATTTACCACCTTTACCATTTTTAAAAGTAAAATCTAGTGGTCATAAATACCTTTATATGCTGGGTGTGGTGGTTCACGGTTGTAATCTCGGCGCTTTGAGAGGCCAAGGAAGGTGGATCATTTAAGATCAGGAACTCGAGATCACCCTGGCCAACATGTGGGAAATTCATCTTTACTAAACAGACAAGAAAAATTAGCCGAGCATGCTGGCATGCACCTGTAGTCCTAGCTACTTGGGAGGCTGAGGCAGGAGAAGCACTTAAACCCAGGAGGCAGAGGTTGCACTGAGCCGAGATCATGCCACTGCACTGCAGCCTGGGAGACAGAGAGAGACTCTGTTTCTAAATAAATAAATACATCTATATTCTTTTTTTTGTTACCCTCCACCCTTCCCTTCCTGGCCTCTGGTGTCCACCATTGTATTCTCCACCTTCATGAGATCCACCTTTTATCTCCTGCATGTGGGTGAGAAATGGGAATCTTTGTAATGACCTCCAGTTCCATCCATGTGGCTGCAAATGACAGGATGTTATTGTTTCTATGGATGAGTAGTCTCCACTGTGTGTGTGTACCACAGTTCTCTATCCATTCACCCACTGATGGGCAGGTAGGTTGACTCCACATCTTGGCTACTGTGAACAGTGCTGGAACAGTCATATGAGTGCAGATATCACTTCGATACACTGATGTCCTTTCCTTTGGATATAAACCCAGTAGTGAAATTGCTGGACACTATGAAAGTTCTCTTTTTTTTTTTTTCTTTTTTGAGAAAGAGTTTCCCTCCTTAGTCCAAGCTGGAGTCTAAGTGGTGAGATCTTGGCTCATTGCAACCTGTGCCTCCTAGGTTCAAATGATTGTCCTGACTCAGCCTCCCTAGTAGCTGTGATTACAGGTGCACGCCACCATGCCTGGCTAATTTTTGTATTTTTTTAGCACAGACGGGATATCCCAATTTTGGGCAGGCTGCTCTCAAACTCCTGACCTCAAGTGAGGTGCCTGCCTCGGTTTCCCAAAGTGCTGAAGTTACAGGCATAAGCCACTATGCCCAGCCTCCTTTTAGTTTTTTAAAGAATTTCCATACTTTTCTCCATAATAGTTGTACTAATTTACATTCCTACCAACAGGGTACCAGGGTTCTCCTTTCTCTACCATCTTGCCAGCATTTGTTTTGCCTGTCTTGCAGTAAAAGCCATTTTACTTTACTTTATTTTATTTATTTATTTATGTTGAGATGGAGTTTCACTCATAGTCTCCCAGGCTGGAGTGCAAGGGTGTGATCTCAGCTCACTGCAACCTCCGCCTCCCGCGTTCAACTGATTCTCCTGCCTCAGCCTCCAAAGTAGCTGGGATTACAGGCATGTGCCACCACGCCTAGCTAATTTTTGTATGTTTAGTAGAGAGGGAGTTTCTCCATGATGGTCAGGCTGGTCTCCCGACCTCAGGTGATCCGCCCACCTCCGCCTCCTGAAGTGCCGGAATTACAGG
Organism: Homo sapiens; assembly: GCF_000001405.40. Lineage (NCBI taxonomy): Eukaryota > Metazoa > Chordata > Mammalia > Primates > Hominidae > Homo > Homo sapiens. The sequence continues at coordinate 101,137 of NT_187677.1, forward strand.
CGTGAGCCACCGGCCTAAAAGGCATTTTAATGGGATGAGATGAAAACTCATCGCGATTGTAATTTACATTTCTCTGATGATGAGTGATGCCGAGTACTTTTTCATATACGTGATCGCCATTTCTATGTTTTGTTTGTGGAGAAATGTCTCCTCATGTCTTTTGCTCGTTTTTTAATTAAATTGTTTTATTGAGTTGTTTGAGCTTCTTATATTTCCAGTTATTAATCCCGTCTCAGATGAATAGTTTGCAAATATTTGCTCCTATTTTGTCGGTTGTCTCTTCACTTTCTTGGTTTATCTTTTGTGGTGCAGAAGTTGCTTGGTTTGATGTAATCCTAATGGTCTATTTTTTGCTTTGATTACTTGTGTTTTGAAGGTTTTAAACAAAATGTCTTTCGTCAGACAAATGTCTTCCCCATTATTTTCTTCTACATGTTTCATAGGTTCAGGCCTTAGACTCATGTTTTTAATCCATTTTCATTTGATTTTTGTGTATGGTGACAGGTATAGATGCAGTTTTATTCCTCTGCATGTAGATATCCAGTTTTCCCCACACCATTTATTGAAAAGACTGTCCTTTCCTGATTGTAAGTTCTCGGCACCTTTGTCAAAGTCCATTAAATGGGCTGGGTATGGTGGCTCACACCTGCAATTCCAGCACTTTGGGAGGCCGAGGCGGGTGGATCACCTGAAGCCAGGAGTTCAAGACCAGGCTGGCCAACAGAGTGAAACCTCGTCTCTACTAAAAATACAAAAATTAGCTGAGCATGGTGACCAGTGCCTGTAATACCACTACTCGGGTGTTTGAGGCAAGAGAATTGCTTGAATCCAGGAAGTGGAGGTTGCATTGAGCTGAGATTGCACCTCTGCACTCCAGCCTGCATGACAGAGCAAGATTCTATCACACACACACACAAAAAAAGCCATTGGATGTAAATGCATGGATTATATCTGTGTTCTCCATTCTGTTTCATTTTTTATGTGCCTTTCTTTATGCCAATGTCATGCTGTTTTGCTTACTACAGCTCTGTAACATATTTCTAAGTCAGGTAGTGTGATGCTCCTGTTTTCTCTTTATACCTTCAAGTCTCAAGACAGTGGGCATCGCACACAAAAATTATGGAGAAGAGGATCCCAAGACTCCCAGGGTCCAACATTAGATAACAGAGTGTTGGCCATGAACCAACCTCAAAGATTTCCATTGAGTAGAGGACAAGCACCCTCATTTCCTCACATCTCTCCTGTCCCATGTTCTAGGAAACCCTTCAAGTAGTTGGCCTTCACCCACAGAACCAAGCTCCAAATCTGGTGAGTAAAGGACCCCTCTTATCTCTGCTTTTGGAAACCTGGGGAGGTGGAAGCCTTGGATGCAAGTGTTGGCTCAAACCTCCCAGCTCTGTGAATGAGGGCCTGTCTTCCACCATCTCTGAACTCCAGACACTCCAACAGTGAAAGGGATCTAGGGCCACCAAAGGGCTCAGCGAAGTCTCTTAACCTTTAATGTCCTGCAGGTGAGACCTCCTACAAGCTAGAAGAATGATTGCCAATCTGACATCCTTCTCAGGAAACATGCAGTGTTTTTTCTTCCTGCATTCCTAACTGGAGGATAAATTCCTGGGGACTTGAGAGAGGGAAGGGAAGGGAACATCTGATGAGGGCGAGGTGTTTTAGAGAAGTTCCACTTGCCAAGGAATGAATTACTGTTGGTCATGAAGCAACCCTGGCTGACTCAGCAGAGCAAGAGCCTTGCCGTAACAGAGAACAGAGCTCATGCACGCACACTTCGACTCACTGACTCATTCAGCCACGGCCCCATGCTCAGGCTGTGCAGTTGGAATCCTTTCCTATTGTTGCCATAACAAATTTCCACAAGATTCGTGGGTGAAAACAAAACGGTTTTTTAATTATCTTACAGTGCTGTAGCTCAAAGTAGGAAGTGCATCTTACTGGGCTAAAATCAAGGTGACAGCAAGGCTGCCTTCCCTCTGAGGATTCCAGGCAAGAATCTGCTTCTCACTTGTCCCAGCTTCTAAAGGCTCCCAGTTCCTTGGCTCCTGGTCCCCTTCCTCCTTCCTCAAAGCCCACAAAGACTGGTCACATCTCACATGGCATCACTCAGACCCTTCTTCCTTACCACACCTCTTTCTCTGAATGCTGCTCTCCCTTCTTCCTTATCTTTTGAAAACTTGGGGATTCTATTGGGTTCACCAAGATGAAAATCCATCATAATCTCCCGGAAATCATTCAGGATACCCTTGTTTTAAGTTCAGCTGACTAGCAACCGTAATTCCATCTGCAATCTTCATTCCTTCTTTCCATGTAAAATAAGATATTCACAAGCTATGGAGGCCAGGACAGGGACATTTTGGGGTGGGACAGCATTCTCCTGCCTTCCACGAACGGTGAACAAGATGCATTTGGCCTCTGCTCTTGGGACACTGATATTGCAGATGGTTAAATGGGAGGACAGAAAATGAGTGCACAAGTGGACCAATAAATGAATGATCCATTGGGAAGCATCTGTGCATGAAATCTATTTGTTTGTTCGTTCATTTATTTATTGAGACAGAGTCTCCCTCTGTCTTCCAGGCTACAGTGCAGTGTCACGATCTTGGCTCACTGCAACCTGCGTCTCCTGGATCCAAGTGATTCTCCTGCCTCACCCTCTCGAGTAGCTGGGATTACAGGCAACTGCCACCATGCCCGGCTAATTCTTTTTGTATATTTTTTGTAGAGAGGATGTTTCACCATGTTGGCCAAGCTTGTCTGAAACTCCCAACCTCAAGTGATCCGACCATCTCAGCAACCCAAAGTACTGGGATTACAGGCGTGAGCCACTTTGCCCAGCCAGAATTCAAAATAAATAATAGATAATGCTGAGTGTATAATTTTGGGTGACAGAGAAGGTCTCACTAATCAGATATTTGTGACATTAATGAAAAACACGGATTGAACCCCTGAAAGATTGGCGGAAGGATTTTCCACACACAGCTGTCAGCCGTGAAGGCAGAAAGCTGAAAACAATCTGATGTGGAAGGAAGAGGCTCTGCCTGAAATGCTGGGAATGAGGTGGGGAGAATGACAAGACGACTGTGGAGAGACGGAGAGCACACTGGGTACACAGGAAACTAAGGAGCAACAAGGAGTGTGTGTTTGACACTCACAGCCATTGGATTCACCTCGGGGTAGCCAGGAATCCCTACATGATTAATAGTGACTGACATGAAAATAAGGGAGGCCCAGGTGCGTAACTGGAATCTAGGAGACAGTGGAAAAGGCAATTGCCGCCCCACTGGTGAAATGTGGTGCTGATTTAGACCCTAAGTGGATGAAGCAGATGGATATAAGCTATGTTTGGGAGGTAGAATCATTTGCAGGGAGGGCTTGCTGGGTTTGAGTTTCCTAGTTGTTTAATCCTTGCTAAATTAATTTCTTTCTGAGATTTATTCCTCCTACACATAAATCAATACCTGGCAAAGGAGTGACAGATATATGAGGGGTGGTGGAAATGAAGGGACCTATTATAGCATAGTATACAAGTCTGTGAACGGTGGCTCACTCCTGTAACCCAGCACTGCAGGAGGCTAAGGCCAGTGGATTCCAAGAAGTCAGGAGTTCGAGACCAGCCTGGCCAACATGGAGAAACCCTATCTCTACATGGTGAAACCCTATCTCTCCTAAAAATACAAAAATTAGCCGAGCATGGTGGTGCATCCCTGTAATCCCAGCTCCTGCTCTGGAGGATGAAGCAGGAGAATGACTTCAACCCAGGAGGTGGAGGTTGCAGTGAGTGGAGATCGCATCACTGCACTCCAGCCTGGGTGACACAAGGAGACTCCATCTCAAAAAATAAAAATAAGAAATGCATAAATATAATAAAACACACACGAATGACAAAGGCACCTGAATTCCCATCATCATTTTTCTATTTCTCTATAATTACTTCTTTGATCCTTTATCTTATCCATTAGGCAATCAGCCTAAAACCTCTTCCGTATTTGGCTTTCTGTGAGCATGAGATCATATAGAAAATGTGAAAGCCCGCTGAATCCTCCAGCACAAATCCTGGAATAGAGAAAGTGCTCTGGTCATCACAAAAAAAACTTGCCCCCTCACCCAAATCCCCCATCTCACCCCTACTTCCAATCACCTGTGGAAATACAGATAGATCATGGGGAGGTAAATGCTAATACTCCTTGGAGTGAGTCCAGATCTTGGAATCAGAGATCAGTGCCAGCACTAGCTCCTGCTCCCCTTTCCTACTAATTCACAGGAGGACAGGTGGTATTGAAGCAATAGATAGTCGAGGGGGTGGTCCTTCCCCCAGCCTCTGAGGTAGAACAGCAGCCTAACATGTGTCTCCCGAGATCACAAAGAGTAGCACATTTCACACGGGCTTCAACACTATTTTCTGGCTGTTTGACATAAGAGAATTCTACTTCGCTTTTTTTATATTGATTTCACTTTTGTTTCCTTTTCTTGGAGAATGCAAGTTGTTTAACTCAAGAATGCCGTGGATGTAGAAATCCTAAAGCACATTCGCTGTGTATCAATCCCAGTCCAGTCTTCCCAGAGAAGACTCTAAACACCTCCTGGACTGCACCTGGGCCTATGCCAATTCCTATCACTCACCGTCACTCCAGGGAGACAGAACACACAGAGAATACGTTACATAGGCAGGTTCATTACTAACAGATAAGCAGCGAGTGACAACAGAAGCCTACATTTCAATGTGAGCCAGTTCCCCAAGGCTCAGAAAAGCTGCTCGAGACATGTGGAGTCACCCCATTTGCAGTGTAGCTGGGGGAAGCCAGAAAGCAGCCCAGCCTGGGTTTTGTACCCTGGAGCCACAGGAAGCACTCAGCTAAAGCACTGCATGACGTCCTCCTCCAGGAAGAACAGGAAGACAGCCCAGGCTGTTCTGGGACAATCCTCCTGATCTCAGGACTTTGCTGTCTTAGTCCATTTTTGTTGCTCTAAAGGAACACTTGAGCCTGGGTAACTTCTAAAGAAGAGATTGGTTTGCCTCACCGTTCTGCAGGCTGTACTGGAAGCATGGCACCAGCATCTATTTCTTATGATGGCCTCAGGCCGCTCCCACTCTGGCAGAAGGGAAGGAGGGTCTGTCTGTGCAGAGACCACAGAGATCACACGGCAAGAGAGGGAGCAAGGGGGAGGGGGAGCAATGGAGCTTCCAAGCTCTTTTTAACAACCAGCTCTCCAGGAACTAATAGAGAGGGAACTTGCTAACCCCGTCTCCTTGGGACAGCATTGATCTGTTCATGATGGATCCACCTCCATGACCCAAACACCTCCCAAGAGGCCCAACCTCCCACACTGGGGGTTAAATTTCAATGTGAGGTTTGAAGGGGTCAAACATCTCAACTAAAGTAGTTGTATCCTCAGCACGTTCCATGGTTACTATGAGAGCTATAACTGAGAAAGCAGGAGGAAGCTAGATCTCCCGCCATCTGGGTGCTTGTCCGAAAGAGATGCTGTAAGTGGTTACCTGTCAATCAAGAAATGCAAGACAATTCATATAGAGAAACTGCTATGATTAGCTTCTTACTGGTGTCTCCTCTTCTTCCAGGTAACCCCAGACACCTGCACATTCTGATTGGGACCTCAGTGGTCATCATCCTCTTCATCCTCCTCCTCTTCTTTCTCCTTCATCTCTGGTGCTCCAACAAAAAAAGTAAGTCTCACGGGGCACAGGCCAGAGAGCTCAGGGCCATGTGGGGAAGCAGGATGGGAGCACACAGCTGTGTGTTCCTCACTGGCAGGATGGTCCCTGGCCCAAGACAGGAGCCACAGAGGCAGGACTTTCTAGAGAGAGCACCAGACTCCCTGCCCCTGCCTTCAGCTCACAGACCGTTGCCTGATTCTGAACTGTATCCTCATGTCCCCTGCAGCCACTCACATCCAGGAGAAGGTTCCATGACAGGCAGAAAGTGGGAGACAGAATCAATGGGATGGGAACTCAGAGCTATTCATGGGATGGGTCCTTGAGCTCAGAGAGATAGAATGTCTGAGTCTGCTGTTGGCAACTGAGGGACCTCAGGCACCTATGGCCTCCCCCTGTTTGTTGGTATCTGCTTATGAAATGAGGACCCAGAAGTGCCCTCCGAGCTCTTTTGTTGACTTCCGTCTCCTACAGATGCTGCTGTAATGGACCAAGAGCCTGCAGGGAACAGAACAGCCAACAGCGAGGTAGGTGCTCCTCGGCCCAGCCTCGTGGCTAGTGTTATTCCCAAACAGTCCTGGAAAACGTGAGCACCCTCCCTCACTCAGCATTTCCCTCCCTCACTCAGCATTTCCCTCTCTCCAGGACTCTGATGAACAAGACCCTGAGGAGGTGACATACGCACAGTTGGATCACTGCGTTTTCACACAGAGAAAAATCACTCGCCCTTCTCAGAGGCCCAAGACACCCCCTACAGATACCATCTTGTACACGGAACTTCCAAATGCTAAGCCCAGATCCAAAGTTGTCTCCTGCCCATGAGCACCACAGTCAGGCCTTGAGGACGTCTTCTAGGGAGACAACAGCCCTGTCTCAAAACCGAGTTGCCAGCTCCCATGTACCAGCAGCTGGAATCTGAAGGCGTGAGTCTTCATCTTAGGGCATCGCTCCTCCTCACGCCACAAATCTGGTGCCTCTCTCTTGCTTACAAATGTCTAGGTCCCCACTGCCTGCTGGAAAGAAAACACACTCCTTTGCTTAGCCCACAGTTCTCCATTTCACTTGACCCCTGCCCACCTCTCCAACCTAACTGGCTTACTTCCTAGTCTACTTGAGGCTGCAATCACACTGAGGAACTCACAATTCCAAACATACAAGAGGCTCCCTCTTGACGTGGCACTTACCCACGTGCTGTTCCACCTTCCCTCATGCTGTTTCACCTTTCTTCGGACTATTTTCCAGCCTTCTGTCAGCAGTGAAACTTATAAAATTTTTTGTGATTTCAATGTAGCTGTCTCCTCTTCAAATAAACATGTCTGCCCTCATTGCTTCAGGTAATGTGACACTGTATTCGCTGAAAGAAACCGCTGTTATCATTACCATGTCCACATAACCCCATCTGTTCTCCGCTGGGTTCTCACCCCTGGACTCTGAGCTTCTGGAAGCAGGGTGGAGCCTCATTTGTCTCTGGGACTCCAATTTCCATCCAAAGATGCAGCACATAGGAGGTTCCAAGGATCGTGAATCACATGAACAAGTGATATTCTTACTCTCTGCAACCTGGAAAGCTGGCAGAGTCATTCCACGATGAAACATTTGTAGAGTCATAAGCCTTGCTAGTCTCATCTCCACGGGGACACATATCAACACATCATATTTCATACTATAAATATACAGTCGCTCCTCCATATCTGTGGGGTTTACAGGTGTTTATTGAACCAAGTGTAAATCAAAAATATTCAGAGAAAATGTCCACAAAGTTTCAAAATGCAAAACTATGTTGAATGGACACAAATGAGGCAGTGTGTAGGCTGTATCAGGAATTATAAGTAATCAAGAGATGATTTCATGTATACAGGAGGATGTGCATGGGTTATATCCAAATGCTGTGTCATTTTATGTAAGAGGCTTGAGCATCTGCAGATTTTGGTACCTGAGTGGAGATCCTGAAACCAATCACCCACGAATAGTAAAGGATGACCGTATATGACTTTTATTTCTCAATTTTAAATATAAATCATAAAAAATGTACAATAACTAGATAAAAAGTAAGAAGTGTTTTTATAGTGTGAGAATAAGTTTAGATTTATTTTTTCCTACGTGTAACCCTTTGGTTTAATATTATTTATTAAGAAGACATTCTATGCCACCTTAAACCACACGGCAGCCTTTGTCAACTCTAAAGGGACTGTGTGTACACGGATGTATTTTAGACACTGTTTCTGCTAAGGGGCTCTCTGTGTCCACACTCTTGAGGATGCTGCACTTCATGTAGCCTTATAAAACCCTTTAAATTTAGTAGCCAGAGCCCTCTAATTTGTTATTATAGGCTACTTGCTATTTTTTTTTCTTGAGGCGGAGTCTTGCTCTGTCGCCCAGGCGGGACTGTAGTGGAGCAATCTCAGCTCACTGCAACTTCCGCCTCCCAGGTTCAGGCGATTCTCGTGCCTCAGTCTCTTGAGTAGCTGGCGTTTCAGGTGCCTGCCACCAGGCATGGCTAATTTTTGAATTTTTAGCAGAGACGCGGTTTCACTGTGTTGGCCAGGCTGCTCTCAATCTCCTCATCTCAGTTGATCCGCCCACCTCGGCTTCCCGACCTGCTGGGGGAAACTTGATTTTCTATAGCATTATGTTACTGGATATTTCTGTAAAATTTAAAATGAGGGAGGCAGAGAGACAGAGAGAGAGCAAACTCCAGAGTTGGGACTCTGGAATCTTGAGTCATGAGACAAATTATAGATAAAACTACAAAAATCCAGAATTTACATGTGTGGTTTTTGCTGATAAAGTACAATTCTAAGATTGTAAATAATTGCATAATCCTTCCCTGGGAATTTAAATCATTTGAACTGGTTCTGCTGTAATACTAGAAATACAAGCATGAACAATTCTAATGGTTTATTAGTCACAATGACTCTGAAAACACTAATAATACCTATTAGATATTTTGCATATTACACAGGAAGAAGAGTTCGAATCTCAGATAAAAACAATAAAAATTCATGAAAAGTCTTTCATGTTAGCACAGATTTTAGGCATCTCATGTTTGGGAGGTTGGATCTAAGACATGTTTTGAGTTGGTCATAGTGAAGGACGCGAGGTGTCAATTCTAGTGAGAGCAATTTCCAGGAAGCCATGTTCTGCTCTTGAGCGAGCACCCACTGGGCCTCATGCAAGGTAGAAAAAGCCTGCGTACGTCACCCTCCCATGATGTGGTCAACATGTAAACTGCATGGGCAGGGCGCCAAATAACATCCTGTGCGCTGCTGAGCTGAGCTGGGGCGCGGCCGCCTGTCTGCACCGGCAGCACCATGTCGCTCATGGTCATCATCATGGCGTGTGTTGGTGAGTCCTGGAAGGGAATAGAGGGAGGGAGCGTGGGGATGGAGATCTGGGCCCAGAGGTGGAGATATGGGCCTGGAGGTGGAGTTATGGGCCTGGAGTGGAGATCTGGGCCTAGAGATGGAGTGATGAGCCTAGAAGTGGAGATCTGCGCCTGGAGTGGAGATCTGGGCCTGGAGTGAAGATCTGGGCCTGGAGTGGAGATATGGGCCTGGAGTGGGGATAGGAACCTGGAGTGGAGAGAGGAACCTGGAGGAGAGATAGGAACCTGGAGGGGAGGTAGGAGCCTAGGGTGGAGATATGGGACTGGAGTGGAGATATGGGACTGGAGTGGAGATATGGGCCTGGAGTGGAGTTATGGGCCTGGAGTGAAGTTATGGGCCTGGAGGTGGAGATACGGGCCTGGAGTGGAGATATGAGCCTGGAGTGGAGATATGGTCCTGGAGTGGAGATATGGGCCTGGAGTGGAGATATGGGTCTGCAGTGGAGTTATGGGCCTGGAGTGAAGTTATGGGCCTGGAGGTGGAGATATGGGCCTGGAGTGGAGATATGGGACTAGAGTGGAGATAGGGGCCTGGAGGTGGAGATCTGGGCCTGGAGTGGAGATCTGGGCCTGGAGTGGAGATCTGGGCCTGGAGTGGAGATATGGGCCTGGAGTGGAGATATGGGTCTGCAGTGGAGATATGGGCCTGGAGGTGGAGATATGGGCCTGGAGTGGAGTTATGGGCCTGGAGTGAAGTTATGGGCCTGGAGGTGGAGATATGGGCCTGGAGTGGAGATATGGGACTAGAGTGGAGATAGGGGCCTGGAGGTGGAGATCTGGGCCTGGAGTGGAGATATGGCCCTGGAGTGGAGATATGGGCCTGGAGTGGAGATATGAGCCTGGAGTGGAGATATGGCCCTGGAGTGGAGATATGGGCCTGGAGGTGGAGATATGGGCCTGGAGTGGAGTTATGGGCCTGGAGTGAAGTTATGGGCCTGGAGGTGGAGATATGGGCCTGGAGTGGAGATATGGGACTAGAGTGGAGATACGGGCCTGGAGGTGGAGATCTGGGCCTGGAGTGGAGATATGGCCCTGGAGTGGAGATATGGGCCTGGAGTGGAGATATGAGCCTGGAGTGGAGATATGGCCCTGGAGTGGAGATATGGGCCTGGAGTGGAGATATGAGCCTGGAGTGGAGATATGGCCCTGGAGTGGAGATATGGGCCTGGAGTGGAGATATGGGCCTGGAGTGGACATATGGGTCTGGAGTGGAGATACGGGCCTGGAGGTGGAGATATGGGCCTGGAGTGGAGATATGGGCCTGGAGGTGGTGATATGGGCCTGGAGTGTAGACATGGGCCGAGTGGAGATATGGGTCTGGAGTGGAGATATGGGCCTGGAGTGGAGATATGGGACTGGAGTGGAGATATAGGCATGGGGTGGAGACATGGGCCGGGAGTGGAGATATGGGACTGGAGTGGAGATACGGGCGTGGGGTGGAGATATGTGCCTGGAGGTGGAGATATGGGCGTGGGTTGGAGATATGGGCCTGGAGTGGAGATATGGGCGTGGGGTGGAGATATGGATCTGGAGTGGAGACATGGGCATGGGGTGGAGATATGGGCCTGGTGTGTAGATATGGGCCTGGAGTGGAGATATGGCCCTGGAGTGGAGATATGGGCCTGGAGTGGAGATCTGGGCCTACGGTGGAGATATGGGCCTAGGATGGGGATATGGGCCTGGAATGGAGATATGGGCCTGGGTGTGGAGATATGGGACTGGAGTGGAGATATGGGCCTGATGTGGAGATATGGGCTTGGAGTGGAGATATGATCCTGGAGTGTAGTTATGGGCCTGGAGGTGGAGATCTGGGCCTGGGGTGGAGATATGGGCCTGGAGTGGAGATATGGGACTGGAGAGGAGATATGGGACTGGAGTGGAGATATGGGCCTGGAGTGGAGATATGGGCCTGGATTGGAGATATGGGCCGAGGGTGGAGATCTGAGCCTGGATTGGAGATGTGGGCCCGGATTGGCTATATGGGTCTAGGGTGGAAATATCGGCCTGGAGTGGAGATATGGGCCTGGAGTGGAGATATGGGCTTGGGGTGGGGATATGGGCCTGGAGGCTGGGTCTCTGCACAGCCGAGAGCACTGTTCTTGGGTGCAGGTAGGCTCTGATGGTGAGTTTCCCTTCGGCCCAGGAAGGGGCTGGCTATCAAGACTCACAGCCCAGTGGGGGCAGCAAGGAAGGCCTTGTTTGCCTGCAAATGGATCTTCCATCATGATCTTTCTTTCCAGGGTTCTTCTTGCTGCAGGGGGCCTGGCCACAGGAGGGTAAGTCCTTCTCCAAACCTTAGGGTGTCATCTCCCCACATAAGAGGATTTTCCTGAAACGGGAGGGAAGTCCTGTCAGGGAGTCTCTCATAAACTAGGAAGAGGGGACCCTGGGGTGCTCGGCCCACAGTTCCGACCTTGCCTCCCTGGCCTCTCAACCCCTTGGCAGAGTCAAGTTGTGTGGGGACCAGGGTTGGACTAGGGTGTTCAAAGCTGGGTTGTGTGGTGGGGAAGTGGTAGGAACAGCAGATCCTCTGAGGACAAAGGTGTTACTCACACACTTCAGCGTTTCCATGACGGTAGGGGCTGCAGTGTGGCTGCTGTCATTCTACCAGAAGAGGTGGGAAACCACAGCCATGGCCCTGACATTCCAAATCCTCTGATGGGGGCTAAGTTTTTTATTTTCATTCAGGCAACTGCTGATATTCCATTCTCAAAGGACATGCCCTCCACTTCATGTCTACCCTGTGTTGTTTTATGTCAGTAATCTTACAGTATTAAAATCTAGTAGGAGTCTCTTACTCAGCACTTGCTCAAAGTTCTCAGCTGACACTTTTGTTGTACGGAGACACCTTGTCTTTGTGGGATGGGTCCTTCCTTTAGCCCTAGGCACCAAGGTGTGATAGCAGCCATAGAAATGTGGAAAGTGGGGAGAATCTTCTGAGCACAGGGAGGGAGGCACAGCTCCACATCCTCCTCTCTAAGGCGGCGCCTCCTTCACCCCAAGGTGGTCAGGACAAGCCCTTGCTTTCTACCTGGCCCAGCCTTGTGGTGCCTCCAGAACATGTGACTCTTCAGTGTCACTCTAATCTTGGGTTTAACAACTTCAGTCTGTACAAGGATGATGGGGTGCCTGTCCCTGAGCTGTACAACAGAATATTCTGGAAAAGCCTTTTCATGGGCCCTGTGACCACGTCACATGCAGGGACCTATACATGCCGGGGTTCACACACACACTCCCCCAGTGGGTGGTCGGCACCCAGCAACCCCCTGGTGATCGTGGTCACAGGTCAGAGGGCTCCTGTCTGGGATTCTCCTTGTCCCACCTCCTGAATCCCAGAGCTTCTGGTAGGCATGTCCTTGAGGGTCCCATCACGCAGGCCCTAACTGTATTTGGGGTAAAGGGGGATTGAATACAGGGAAATGGGTGCTGTGGTGGGAAGAATAAGTGTCCCCAGTGATGACTGCATTCTAATCCCTGGAGTCTGTGACTATTTATGTTATAGGGGAAGGGACTGAAGGGGAAGATGGAGCTCAGGTTGTTGATGAGTTGACCTTGAGATGGGGAGACAGCCTGGACTGTCCCGGTGGGCTCAGTATAATCACAAGTGTCCACATGAAAGGAGGAGGAAGAGGAGAGTGGGGATTAGAGCAGCGTAGTGGGAGACTCCATCAGCTTTGAAGGTGGATGAAGGCCATAAGCCATGAATGCAGGTGGCCTATAGAGGCTGGGAAAGTCAAGTAACTGATTCTCCTGAGTCTCCAGAGGGAACACAGCCCTGCAGATGCCTTGATTTTAGCCCTCGAAAAACAGGGTCCGCTTTCTGTCTCCAGAATCGGAGGGGGTCAGTGTGCTCTCTCCTGCTGCCATGCTTCTGATAATTTTCTACAGCAGCAACAGGAAACCAACACTGGAACCCAGGTCAAGGACAAGTTAAGAAAAGACACAAGGATAGCCAGGCATGGTGGCAGGTGCATGTAATCCTAGCGACTCGGGAGGCTGAGAGCAGGAGAATCGCTTGAACCCAGGAGACAGAGGTTGCAGTGAGCGTAGACCACACCACTTCACTCCAGCCTGGGTGAAGGAGTGAGACTCTGTCTCCAAAATTAATTAATTAATTAAAGAAACCAAACAAAGAGAAGGTTGGCTACACCGAGATCAGCAAGGGTGGGATGATGATGCCACCACCAGGCTCCATCCACATAGGGAGGGGTTGATACTCCTCAAATCAGCACGAGGAGCCAGCCTATGGAAACTGGCACCATGGAGAAGGCACAGACATGGCAAGAGTGGCTCCCAGTCCCCACCAGGAACAGGGTGTGTGGACACTGGTGCCTGCCTTACTGATCAGTTCATACCTCCTGCCAAGGATTCCAATTCGTCCAAAAGAGATTGAACCAAGCTGCTAAGAGCCGGGACGTGCAGCCTATCCTGCTTCCTCTTCCACTCCCACATAGACAGTAAGAAAGACATTAGTGTGAAATAGATACAACAGCCCAAGAGATGAGGCTGAGCCCAGTGGGAAGGGAATCACAGCTACTAGAGACAGAGGGACAGAGAAGAGGGAGGGAGACAGATGGAAGGACCTGCACCAGGAGTTATGGGCACAGAAAAGAACATGAAGACACAGAGAGGAAGCAGAGAGACAGACACCAGCGAAGGGAAGGCTCACTCATTCCAGGTGCCATGGATGGGATGATAAAGAGAGACACCTTCTAAACTCACAACCTCTCTTCCTAGGAGTCCACAGAAAACCTTCCTTCCTGGCCCTCCCAGGTCACCTGGTGAAATCAGAAGAGACAGTCATCCTGCAATGTTGGTCGGATGTCATGTTTGAGCACTTCCTTCTGCACAGAGAGGGGAAGTTTAACAACACTTTGCACCTCATTGGAGAGCACCATGATGGGGTTTCCAAGGCCAACTTCTCCATTGGTCCCATGATGCCTGTCCTTGCAGGAACCTACAGATGCTACGGTTCTGTTCCTCACTCCCCCTATCAGTTGTCAGCTCCCAGTGACCCTCTGGACATGGTGATCATAGGTGAGAGTGTCCAGACATTCTTCTCATTGTCATTGGGATGCAGAGTGAATGATCCAGGACTTGGAGACCCAGGTGGTTGTAAGGAAGATGAGCTTGGTATTCTTATGGAGAGAGACTGACTTGGTGAGGTCTGTGCCAACAGAGACAGAGAAACAAGAGACACAAGTACAGACCAGGTGTCATAACAGAGGACAAACACAGGGGCCATACAGGGAGTTAGAAAAGACAGAAAGAGTTAAAGGAGACAGACAGACATGTCCCAGACAGAGGTGTCCTTCCATGCTGACTTTGCTCAGAGACCTGGCACAGGTTAGAAGTTTCATTTCTGTTTTACCTCCACAAAGTGTTCTCTACCAGGAGAACCCAAGGACACCCATATTTCTGACCTGAGTTGGGCCCTGTGGCCTCAGGCCTTGTGGCACCTACAGATGCCATGCTTATTCTGACACCTCTGACTTCCATGCAATGGAGAATAATCGTCCCAAAATATCATGGCCCCAGAACACCAACCCCTGTATGCTGTGTGAACTTGTGGTCTCCAGACTGGATTCTGAGGCTCACATTCCAAATAACCCCACATATCACATATGAGAGGATCACTGAGAAGCACAGAGAGAAATCAGGGACACCAAAAAGCAAAGACATAAACACACAGAGAAAGAGCCAGAGGAAGGAGATTGAGAGACTCACAGACACATAAAGAGAGAGAAGAGGGCAGAGAAGTGGAGAGAATGATGGAAGAGAGCAGAGAAAACCACTAAAATTAGAGTCCTGAGGGCGAGGCACAAGGGCATAGAAAGATGGAGATGTGGGGATGAATTGCAGAGATTCCAAAGAGAACTAGAGAGACCGAGAGGCAGAGCAAGACAGATGATAGATGGATAGATACAGATAGATGATGGATAGATATAGATAGATGATATATAGGTAGATGATAGATAATAGGTTATAGATACATAGATGATGATTGATTGATTCATTAATAGATGATACATAGAGATGATGATGATGAAGATAGATGGATAGATAATACATAGAGATAGAGAGGAAGACAAAGAGAGAAATAATAGAGAGAGAGAGATGATACATATATATAGATAATAGATGATTGACGGATAGACAATTGATAGATAAATAGATGATATATAGATATAGATGACAGGTAGAGAATTTGTAGATAGGCACCGAATAGATAAATAGATGGATTGATAGATAATAGATAGAAATATGCAGAAAGTTATGAACGGGACACAAACTGAGAAACTCAGAGTTAAAAAAAGTAACATCAAGTCAACCAATCCAAGGAGAGCCAGAGAGAATAAAACAATCCAAAAACGGAAAACATAACTAGAGGTAGGGAAGTGAGGTCAGAGACCTACAGAGACAGAGAAGGTGGAAGGAGGAAATAGACATGAAGAGAGATAGGGTGGAGGGTGAGACAGAGAAAGAGAGCATTAGGCCATAGAGCAGGGGAGTGAGTTCTCAGGTCAGGTGTGAGGGGAGCTGTGACAAGGAAGATCCCCCCTGAGGAAACTGCCCCTTCTCCTTCCAGGTCTATATGAGAAACCTTCTCTCTCAGCCCAGCCGGGCCCCACGGTTCAGGCAGGAGAGAATGTGACCTTGTCCTGCAGCTCCATCTATCCAGGGAAGGGGAGGCCCATGAACGTAGGCTCCCTGCAGTGCGCAGCATCAACGGAACATTCCAGGCCGACTTTCCTCTGGGCCCTGCCACCCACGGAGGGACCTACAGATGCTTCGGCTCTTTCCGTGACGCTCCCTACGAGTGGTCAAACTCGAGTGATCCACTGCTTGTTTCCGTCACAGGTGAGGAAACCCCATATCTGTCCCATGTCCTATGATCCTAGAGCCTTAGCTGAGGAGCTTCCTGCTGATGATGGAGAGAAGCATGGACAGATGCAGAGAGAAGACGCAGCATGCCTGTGAGGGAGGGATCAGGGCGCAGGATGGCACACACAGCACCTCCAAACCCTCCTGCATGGCCTGCATGGAGGCCTCCGATTAGGGCTCCAGAAACCCAGGCAGATGTAGAAAGCGGTCAGGAGAGACCCAGAGAAGGGGAGACTGGGCTCAGTTTGGGGAGATCAGAGGTTCCCTCAGCCCCTCAACCTTACCCATTTCCCAGAAGCCCTTCCTGGCCTCTCACCCACACAGAGATGTCATCACCAGCAACCCCTACATCCTTTTCTTTTTGTTTGAAAAAATATTCATTGAGGTTAAATATACCTATATAGCTTACCACTTTTAACATTTTTTTTTTTTTGAGGTGGAGTCTAGCTCTGTCTCCTATGCTGGAATGCAGTGGCACAATCTCAGCTCACTGTAACCTCCGCCTCCTGGGTTCAAGCGATTCTCCTGCCTCAGCCACCTGAGTAGCTGGTACTACAGGCGCCCATCACCACGCCGGGCTACTTTTTGTATTTTTAGTAGAGAGGGGGTTTCACCATGTTGGTCGAGCTGCTCTGGAACTCCTGACCACGTGATCCACCCGCCTCAGGCTCCCAAAGTGCTGGGATTACAGGCATGAGCCACCGCGCCCGGCCACGTTTACCAATTTTAAGTGTAAGGTCTAGTGGTCATAAATACATACATATAAATTTTTTGTTTGTTTGTTTTATCCTCCACCCTTTTCTTCCTGGCCTCTGGTAGCCACCATTCTACTCTCTATCTTCATGAGATCCACCTTTTAGCTCCTGTATATGGGTGAGAAATGAGAATATTTGTAATGACTTCCAGTTCCATCCATGTGGCTGCAAATATCAGGATGTTATTCTTTCTATGGATGAGTAGTCTCCGCTGTGCGTATGTACTACATTCTCTCTATCCATTCATCCACTGATGGGCAGGTAGGTTGACTCCACATCTTGGCTACTGTGAAGAGTGCTGCACCAATCATACGAGTGCAGATATCACTTCGATACATTGATTTACTTTCCTTTGGATATAAACCCAGTAGTGAAATTGCTGGATACTATGAAAGTTCTCTTTTTAGTTTTTCGTTTGTTGTTTTGTTTTTGTTTTTGAGACAGTTTCCCTCTGTGCCCAGGCTGGAGTACAAGTGATGTGATCTTGGCTCATTGCAACCTCCGCCTCCTGGGTTCAAATGATTTTCCTGCCTCAGCCTCCCTAGTAGCTGGGATTACAGGTGCACGCCACCATGCCGGGATACTTTTTGGTTTTTTTTAGTGTACATGGGGTTTCCCCAGGTTGGCTAGGCTGCTCTCAAACTCATGACCTCAACTGAGGTGCCCGCCTCGGTCTCCCAAAGTGCCGGGATTACAGGCATGATCCACTTCATCCAACCTCTTTTTAGTTCTTTAAAGGACTTCCATACTTTTCTCCGTAATGGCTGTACTAATTTACACTCCTACCAACAGGGTACCAGGGTTCTCCTTTCTCTACCACCTTGCCAGCATTTGTTTTGCCTGTCTTGCAGCTAAAAGCCATTTTATTTTATTTCATTTTATTTTGAGATGGAGTTTCGCTCTTGTCACCCAGGCTGGAGTGCAGTGGTGCGATCTCGGCTCACCGCAACCTCCACCTCCCAGGTTCAAGCGATTCTCCTGCCTCAGCCTCCCGAGTAGCTGGAATTACAGGCACACGCCACCACGCCCGACTAATTTTTGTATTTTTAGTAGAGACAGCGTTTCTCCATGTGGGTCAGACTGGTCTCAAACTCCCGACCTTATGAGATTCGCCCACCTCGGGCTCTCAGAGTTCTAGGATGACAGACGTGAGCCACCTCGCCCGGCCTAAAAGCCATTTTAATGGGGTGAGATGAAAACTCACTTTGATTTTAATTCGCGTTTCTCTGATGATGAGTGATACTGAGCACTTTTTCGTATGTGGGGAAATTTCATGTCTTTTGCTCCTTTTTCAATTAAATCATTTGTTTTATTGAGTTGTTTGAGCTTCTTATACTTCTAGTTATTAATCCCGTCTCAGATGCATAGTTTGCACATATTTGCTCCCAATCTGTGGGTTGTCTCTTCACTTTGTTGGTTTATTTTTAGCGGTGCAGAAGTTGCTTAGTTTGAGGTAATCCCAATGGTCTATTTTTGCTTCGATTACTTGTGTTTTGAAGGTTTAAAACAAAATGTCTTCCTTCAGACAAATGTACTGGAGCATTTCCCCAATATTTTCTTCTACGTGTTTCACAGGTTCAGGCCTTAGACTCACATCTTTAATCCACTTTCATTTGATTTTTGTGTATGGTGACAGGTAGAGGTGCAGTTTCATTCCTCTGCATGTAGATGTCCAGGTTTCCCTGCACTGTTTATTGAAAAAACTGTCCTTTCCTGATTGTGAGTTCTTGGCACCTTTGTCAAAGTCCATTGGATGGGCTGGGCATGGTGGCTAACACCAGCAACTTCAGCACTTTGGGAGGCCAAGGCTGGTGGATCACCTGAGGACAGGAGTACAAGATTACTCTGGCCGACGTGATGAAACCTCGTCTCCACTAAAAATATAAAAATTAGCTGAGCATGGTGGTCAGCACCTGTAATACTACTACTCAGGAGTTTGAGGCAAGAGAATTGATTGAACCCAGGAGGCTGAGGTTGCAGTGAACCGAGATTGCACCTCTGCACTCCAGCCTGGGTGACAGAGCGAGACTCCATCTCAAAAGAAAAAATAAAAAAAATTGGATGTAAATGCATGGATTATATCTGTGTTCTTCATTCTGCTCCGTTGTTCTATGTGCCTTTCTTCATGCCAACATCATGCTGTTTTGCTTACTACAGCTCTGTAACATATTTTGAGATCAGGTAGTGTGATGCTCCTGTTTTCTCTTTATACCTTGAAGTCTCAAGACAGTGGGCGTCACATACAAAAATTATGGAAGAAAGGATCCCTGGACTCCCAGGGCCCAATGTTAGATAACAGAGTGTTGGCCATGAACCAAACTCAAAGATTTCCACTGAGTAGAGGACAGACACCCTCATTTCCTCACCTCTCTCCTGTCTCATGTTCTAGGAAACCCTTCAAATAGTTGGCCTTCACCCACTGAACCAAGCTCCAAAACCGGTGAGTACAGGACCCTCTTATATCCGCTTTTGGAACCCTGGGGAGGTGGAAACCTTGGATTCAGGCGTTGACTCAGCATCTCACAGCTCTGACATTGTACGCCTGTCTTCTACCATCTCCGAACTCCAGATACTCCAACAGCGAAAGGGATCTGGGCCCAACACAGGGCTCAGTGAAATCTCTTCATCTCTCATTTTATGGAGCTGAGACCTCCTACAAGCTAGAAGAATGATTGCCAATCTGACATCCTTCTCAGGAAAAACGCAATGTTTGTTCTGCTTGCATTCCTAACTGGAGGATAAATTCCTGGGGGCTTGAGAGAGGGAAGGGAAGCGAACATCTGATGAGGGCGAGGTGTTTTAGAGAAGTTCCACTTGCCAAGGAATGAGCTCCTGTTGGTCATGAAACAACCCTGGCTGACTCAGCAGAGCAAGAGCCTTGCCGTAACAGAGAACAGAGCTCATGCACGCACACTTTGACTCACTGACTTATTCAGCCACGGCCCCATGCTCAGGTTGTGCAGTGTGGAAGCTTTTCCTATTGTTGCCATAACAAATTTCCACAAGATTCGTGGGTGAAAACAAAACGGTTATTTAATTATCTTACAGTGCTCTAGCTCAAAGCATGAAGTGCATCTCACTGGGCTAAAATCAAGATGACAGCAAGCCTGCCTTCCCTCTGAGGATTCCAGGCAAGAATCTGCTTCTCACTTGTCCCATCTTATAAAGGCTCCCAGTTCCTTGGCTGCTGGTCCCTTTCCTCCTTCCTCAAAACCCACAAAGACTGGTCACATCTCACATGGCATCACTCAGACCCTTCTTCCTTACCACACCTCTTTCTCTGAATGCTGCTCTCCCTTCTTCCTCATCTTTTGAAAACTTGGGGATTCTATTGGGTTCACCAAGATGAAAATCCGTCATAATCTCCCGGAAATCATTCAGGATACCCTTGTTTTAAGTTCAGCTGATTAGCAACCATAATTCCATCTGCAATCTTCATTCCTCCTTTCCATGTAAAATAACATATTCACAAGCTATGGAGGCTAGGACAGGGACATTTTGGGGTGGGACAGCATTCTCCTGCCTTCCACAAATGGTGAACAAGATGCATTTGGCCTCTGCTCTTGGGACACTGATATTGCAGATGGTTAAATGGGAGGACAGAAAATGAATGCACAAGTGGACCAATAAATGAATGATCCATTGGGAAGCATCTGTGCATGAAATCTATTTGTTTGTTCGTTCGTTTGTTTATTGAGACAGAGTCTCCCTCTGTCTTCCAGGCTACAGTGCAGTGTCACGATCTTGGCTCACTGCAACCTGCGTCTCCTGGATCCAAGTGATTCTCCTGCCTCACCCTCTCGAGTAGCTGGGATTACAGGCAACTGCCACCATGCCCGGCTAATTCTTTTTGTATATTTTTTGTAGAGAGGATGTTTCACCATGTTGGCCAAGCTTGTCTGAAACTCCCAACCTCAAGTGATCCGACCATCTCAGCAACCCAAAGTACTGGGATTACAGGCGTGAGCCACTTTGCCCAGCCAGAATTCAAAATAAATAATAGATAATGCTGAGTGTATAATTTTGGGTGACAGAGAAGGTCTCACTAATCAGATATTTGTGACATTAATGAAAAACACGGATTGAACCCCTGAAAGATTGGCGGAAGGATTTTCCACACACAGCTGTCAGCTGTGAAGGCACAAAGGTGAAAACAATCTGATGTTGAAGGAAGAGGCTCTGCCTGAAATGCTGGGAATGAGGTGGGGAGAATGACAAGATGACTGTAGAGAGATGGAGAGCACTCTGGGTACACAGGAAACTAAGGAGGAACAAGGAGTGTGTGTTTGACACTCACAGCCATTGGATTCACCTCGGGGTAACCAGGAATCCCTACATGATTAATAGTGACTGACAAGAAAATAAGGGAGGCCCAGGTGCGTAACTGGAATCTAGGAGACTGTGGAAAAGGCAATTGCCGCCCCACTGGTGAAATGTGGTGCTGATTTAGACACTAAATGAATGAAGTAGATGGATATAAGATATGCTTGTGAGGTAGAATCATTGGCTGGAAAGGCTTGCTGGGTTTGATTTTCCTACTTGTTTAATCCTCGCTTAATTAATTTCTTTCTGAGATTTATTCATCCTACACATAAATCAATACCTGGCAAAGGAGTGACAGATATATGAGGGGTGGTGGAAATGAAGGGACCTATTATAGCATAATATACAAGTCTGTGAACGGTGGCTCATGCTTGTAACCCAGCCCTGCAGGAGGCCAAGGCGGGTGGATTCCATGAAGTCAGGAGTTCCAGACCAGCCTGGCCAACATGGTGAAACCCTATCTGTACTAAAAATACAAAAATTAGCCGAGCATGGTGGTGCATCCCTGTAATCCCAGCTCCTACTCTGGAGGATGAAGCAGGAGAATGACTTCAACCCAGGAGGTGGAGGTTGCAGTGAGTGGAGATTGCATCACTGCACTCCAGCCTGGGTGACACAAGGAGACTCCGTCTCAAAAAATAAAAATAAGAAATGCATAAATATAATAAAACACACACGAATGACAAAGGCACCTGAATTCCAATCATCATTTTTCTATTTCTCTATAATTACTTCTTTGATCCTTTATCTTATCCATTAGGCAATGAGCCTAAAACCTCTTCCCTATTTGGCTTTCTGTGAGCATGAGATCACATAGAAAATGTGAAAGCCCGCTGAATCCTCCAGCACGGATCCTGGAATAGAGAAAGTGCTCTGGTCATCGCAAAAAAAAACTTGCCCACTCACCCAAATCCCCCACCTCACCCCTACTTCCAATCACCTGTGGAGATTCAGATAGACCATGGGGAGGAAACATTAATACTCCTTGGAGTGAGTCCAGATCTTGGAATCAGAGATCAGCGACAGCACTAGCTCCTGTTCCCCTTTCCTACTAATTCACAGGAGGACAGGTGGTATTGAAGCAATAGATGGTCGAGGGGGTGGTCCTTCCCCCAGCCTCTCGGGTAGAACAGCAGCCTAACATGTGTCTCCCGAGATCACAAAGAGTAGCACATTTCACACGGGCTTCAACACTATTTCCTGGCTGTTTGACATAAGAGAATCTTGCTTCGCTATTTTTAATCGTGATTTCACCTTTGTTTCCTTTCCTTGGTGAATGCAATTTGTTTGACTCAAGAATGCTGTGGATGTAGAAATCCTAAAGCACATTCGCTGTGTATCAATCCCAGTGCAGTCTTCCCAGAGAAGACTCTAAACAAATCCTGGACTGCACCTGGGCCTATGCCAATTCCTATCACTCACCGTCACTCCAGGGAGACAGAACACACAGAGAATACGTTACATAGGCAGGTTCATTACTAACAGATAAGCAGCGAGTGACAACAGAAGCCTGCATTTCAATGTGAGCCAGTCCCTCAAGGCTCAGAAAAGCTGCTCGGGACATATGGAGTCACCCCATTTGCAGTGTAGCTGCGGGAAGCCAGAAAGCAGCCCAGCCTGGGTTTTGTACCCTGGAGCCACAGGAAGCACTCAGCTAAAGCACTGCATGACGTCCTCCTCCAGGAAGAACAGGAAGACAGCCCAGGCTGTTCTGAGACATTCCTCCTGATCTCAGGATGTTGCTATCTTAGTCCATTTTTGTTGCTCTAAAGGAACACTTGAGCCTGGGTAACTTCTAAAGAAAAGAGATTGGTTTGCCTCACAGTTCTGCAGGCTGTACTGGAAGCATGGCACCAGAATCTATTTCTCGTGACGGCCTCAGGCTGCTCCCACTCTGGCAGAAGGGAAGGAGGGTCTGTCTGTGCAGAGACCGCAGAGATCACACGGCAAGAGAGAGAGTAAGGGGGAGAGGGAGCGATGGAGCTTCCAAGCTCTTTTTAACAACCAGCTCTCCAGGAACTAACAGAGGGGGAACTTGCTAACCCCGTCTCCTTGGGACAGCATTGATCTGTTCATGATGGATCCACCTCCATGACCCAAACACCTCTGAAGAGGCCCAACCTCCCACAATGGGGGTGAAATTTCAATGTGAGGTTTGAAAGGGTCAAACATCTCAACTAAAGTAGTTGTATCCTCAGCACGTTCTATGGTTACTATGAGAGCTATAATTGAGAAAGCAGGGGAAAGCTAGGTCTCCCGCCATTTGGGTGCTTGTCCTAAAGAGACGTTGTATGTGGTTACCTGCCAATCAAGAAATGCGAGACAATTCATAAAGAGGAACTGCTATGATTAGCTTCTTATTGGTGTCTCCTCTTCTTCCAGGTAACCCCAGACACCTACATGTTCTGATTGGGACCTCAGTGGTCAAAATCCCTTTCACCATCCTCCTCTTCTTTCTCCTTCATCGCTGGTGCTCCGACAAAAAAAGTAAGTCTCACGAAGCAGAGGCCAGAGAGCTCAGGGCCATGTGGGGAAGCAGGATGGGAGCACGCGGATGTGTGTTCCTCACCAGCAGGATGGTCCCTGGCCCAAGACAGGAGCCACAGAGGCAGGACTTTCTAGAGAGAGCACCAGATTCCCTTCCCCTGCCTTCAGCTCACAGACCATTGCCTGATTCTGAACTGTATCCTCACGTCCCCTGCAGCCACTCACATCCAGGAGAAGGTTCCATGACAGGCAGAAAGTGGGAGATAGAATCAATGGGATGGGACCTCAGAGCTATTCATGGGATGGGTCCTTGAACTCAGAGAGATAGAATGTCTGAGTCTGCTGTTGGCAACTGAGGGACCTCAGGCACCTATGGCCTCCCCCTGTTTGTTGGTATCTGCTTATGAAATGAGGACCCAGAAGTGCCCTCCGAGCTCTTTTGTTGACTTCCGTCTTCTACAGATGCTGCTGTAATGGACCAAGAGCCTGCAGGGAACAGAACAGTGAACAGCGAGGTAGGTGCTCCTCCGCCCAGCCTCGTGGCTAGTCTTATTCCCAAAGAGTCCTGAAAAATGTGAGCACCCTCCCTCACTCAGCATTTCCCTCTCTCCAGGATTCTGATGAACAAGACCATCAGGAGGTGTCATACGCATAATTGGATCACTGTGTTTTCACACAGAGAAAAATCACTCGCCCTTCTGAGAGGCCCAAGACACCCCCAACAGATACCAGCATGTACATAGAACTTCCAAATGCTGAGCCCAGATCCAAAGTTGTCTTCTGTCCACGAGCACCACAGTCAGGCCTTGAGGGGATCTTCTAGGGAGACAACAGCCCTGTCTCAAAACCGGGTTGCCAGCTCCCATGTACCAGCAGCTGGAATCTGAAGGCATCAGTCTTCATCTTAGGGCATCGCTCTTCCTCACACCACGAATCTGAACATGCCTCTCTCTTGCTTACAAATGTCTAAGGTCCCCACTGCCTGCTGGAGAGAAAACACACTCCTTTGCTTAGCCCACAATTCTCCATTTCACTTGACCCCTGCCCACCTCTCCAACCTAACTGGCTTACTTCCTAGTCTACCTGAGGCTGCAATCACACTGAGGAACTCACAATTCCAAACATACAAGAGGCTGCCTCTTAACACAGCACTTAGACACGTGCTGTTCCACCTCCCTTCAGACTATCTTTCAGCCTTCTGCCAGCAGTAAAACTTATAAATTTTTTAAATAATTTCAATGTAGTTTTCCCGCCTTCAAATAAACATGTCTGCCCTCATGGTTTCGGTAACGAGACTCTTTTCTTGCCTAAGGCTTCCGGTGTTATCATTACCATGTCCACATAACCCCATCTGTTCTCCATTGGGTTCTCAGCCCTGGACTCTGAGCTTCTGGAAGCAGAATGGAGCCTGATTTGTCTCTGAGACTCCAATTTCCATCCAAAGATACAGCACATAGGAGGCTCCAAGGATCGTGAATCACATGAACAAGTGATATTCTTACTCTCTGCAGACCTGGAAAGCTGGCAGAGTCATTCCACGATGAAACATTTGTAGAGTCATAGGCCTTGTTAGTCTCATCTCCACGGGGACACATATCAACATATCATCTTTCATAATATAAATATACAGTCGGTCCTCCATATCTGT
Organism: Homo sapiens; assembly: GCF_000001405.40. Classification (NCBI taxonomy): domain Eukaryota; kingdom Metazoa; phylum Chordata; class Mammalia; order Primates; family Hominidae; genus Homo; species Homo sapiens. Next base: position 126,303 of record NT_187677.1, read on the forward strand.
GGGGTTTACAGGTGTTTATTGAACCAACAATAAATCAAAAATATTTTCAGAAAAAAATCCCCGAAGTTTCAAGAAGCAAAAAACTATGTTGAATCGACACAAATTGAGTGGCGTGTAGGCTGTGTCAGGAATTATAAGTAATCAAGGGATGATTTCATGTATACAGGAGGATGTGCATGGGTTCTATGCAATTGCTATGCTATTTTTTTTTTTTTTTTGAGACAGTCTCACTCTCTCACCCAGGCTGGAGTGCAGTGGCATGATCTCAGCTCACTGCAACCTCCGCCTCCCAGGTTCAAGCGATTGTCTTCCCTCAGCCTCCCCAGTAGCCTCCCCTAGGATTACAGGCACGTGCCACCATGCACAGATAAATTTTTTTGTGTGTGTATTTTTAGTAGAGACGGGGTTTCAGAATGTTGGACCAGCTGGTCTTGAACTCCTGACCTCGTGATCTACCCAACTCAGCCTCCCAAAGTGCTGGGATTACAGGCGTGAGCCACGGTGCCCAGCTTCGCTATGCCATTTCATGCAAGGGGCTTGAGCATCTGCAGATTTTGGTATCTGAATGGGGATCCTGGAACCAATCACCCAGGAATAGTGAAGGACCACAGTATATAATTTTTATTTGTCAATCTTAAAAATAAAGCATAAAAAGTTTACAACAACAAGATAAAAAATAAGAAGTGTCTTTATAGTGTGAGGATAAGTTTAGATTTATTTTTTCCTACGTGTAACCCTATGGTCCTGTGTTATTTGTTGAGAAAATATTCTATTCCACCTTAAACTACATGGCAGCCTTTGTCAACTATAAAGGGACTGTGTATCCACAGATGTATTTTAGACACAGTTTTCTGCCCAGTGGTTCTCTGTATCCCCTCTCATGAGGATGCTGCATTTCATATAAACTTATAGAACCCCTTAAAATTTGGTAACCTGAGTTCTCTGATTTGTTATTATAGGTTATTTAGTTTGCTTTTTTTTTTCTTTCTTGAGACAGACTCTTCCTCTGTCACCCAAGCTGGAGTTCAGTGGCTTGAGCTCAGCTCACTGCAGCCTCCGCCTCCCAGGTTCAAGCAATTCTCGTGCCTCAGGTTTAGTACTAGAAACTCATCAGGAAAATTAGAATGGCTTTTTGTCACAATTACTCTGATAATGTTAATAATACCTCTTAGATATTTTGCACATTACACATGAAGAAAAGTTTGAATCTCAGATAAAAACAAAAATACATCAAAAGTCTTTAATGTAAGCACAGAATTCAATCACCTCATGTGTGAGAGGTTGGATCTGAGACGTCTTTTGAGTCTGGTCATAGTGAAGGATGCAAGGTGGCAATTGTAGTCACAACAATTTCCAGGAAGCCATGTTCCGCTCTTGAGCGAGCACCCACTGGGCCTCATGCAAGGTAGAAAGAGCCTGCGTACGTCACCCTCCCATGATGTGGTCAACATGTAAACTGCATGGGCAGGGCGCCAAATAACATCCTGTGCGCTGCTGAGCTGAGCTGGGGCGCGGCCTCCTGTCTGCACCGGCAGCACCATGTCGCTCACGGTCGTCAGCATGGCGTGCGTTGGTGAGTCCTGGAAGGGAATAGAGGGAGGGAGAGTGGGGATGGAGATCTCGGCCTAGAGGTAAAGATATGGGCCTGGAGTGGAGATATGGGCCTGGAGTGGAGATATGGGCCTGGGTGTGGAGATATGGGCCTGGAGGTGTAAATATGGGCCTGGAGTGGAGATATGGGCCTGGAGGGGAGATATGGGCCTGGGTGTGGAGATATGGGCCTGGAGTGGAGATACGGGCCTGGAGTGGAGATATGGGCCTGGAGTGGAGATATGGGCCTGCAGGTGGAGATCTGGGCCTGGAGTGGAGATATGGGCCTGGAGTGGAGATATGGGTCTGATGTGGAGATATGGGCCTGGAGTGGAGATATGGGCCTGGAGTGGAGATATGGGCCTAGAGGGGAGATCTGGGCCTGGAGTGGAGATATGGGTCTGATGTGGAGATATGGGCCTGGAGTGGAGATATGGGCCTGGAGTGGAGATAGGGGCCTGGAGTGGAGATATGGGCCTGGAGTGGAGATCTGGGCCAGGAAGTGTTGATCTGGGCCTGGAGCCTGGGTCTCTCCACAGCTGAGAGCCCTGTTCTTGGCAGCAGGTAGCAGGGAGGCTAAGTTTACCTTCAGCCCAGCAAGGGCCTGGCTGCCAAGACACACAGTGCAGTGGGGGCAGCAGGGTGCCCTGGTTTGCCTGCAGTTGGATCGTCTATCATGATCTTTCTTTCCAGGGTTCTTCTTGCTGCAGGGGGCCTGGCCACTCATGGGTGAGTCCGTCCCCAAACCTTAGGGTGTCATCTCCCCACATAAGAGGATTTTTCTGAAACAGGAGGGAAGTCCTGTCGGGGAGTCTCTCATAAACTAGGAAGAGGGGACCCTTGGATACTCGGCCCACATTTCTGACCTCGCCCTCCCTGGCCTTTCTTTCCCTTTCCTGAGTCAAGCTCTGTGAAGACTGGGGTGAGACTGGGGTGCTCCAAGCTGGGGTGTGCAGGGAGGAAGTGGTGTCAGCAGCAGAGAAAGAGAGGGAAGCAGTGCTAGGAACAGCAGGTCCTCTGAGGACAAAGGTATAACTGACACCCTCCAGCGTTTCCGTGACGGTAGGGGCTGCAGTGTGGCTGCGGTCTTTCTACCAGAAGAGGGGGGAAACCACAGCCATGGCCCTGACATTCCAAATCCTCTGAGGGGGCTCAGTTCATGAATTGGCTGATATTCCATTCACATAGGACATGCCCTCCATGCCGTGTCTACTTTGTGTTGTTTTATGTGAGTAATTTTGCAGTATTAAAATCTAGTAAGAGTCACTTATTCAGCACTTGCTCAAAGTTCTCAGCTGACACTTGTTGTAGGGAGACGCCATGTCTATGTGGGGTGGGTCCTTCCTGTAGCCCTGGGCACCCAGGTGTGGTAGGAGCCTTAGAAAGCGGAAATGGGAGAATCTTCTGAGCACAGGGAGGGAGGGGTGGCTCCACATCCTCCTCTCTAAGGCAGTGCCTCCTTCTCCCCCAGGTGGTCAGGACAAACCCTTCCTGTCTGCCCGGCCCAGCACTGTGGTGCCTCGAGGAGGACACGTGGCTCTTCAGTGTCACTATCGTCGTGGGTTTAACAATTTCATGCTGTACAAAGAAGACAGAAGCCACGTTCCCATCTTCCACGGCAGAATATTCCAGGAGAGCTTCATCATGGGCCCTGTGACCCCAGCACATGCAGGGACCTACAGATGTCGGGGTTCACGCCCACACTCCCTCACTGGGTGGTCGGCACCCAGCAACCCCCTGGTGATCATGGTCACAGGTCAGAGGCTTTCTGTCTGGGCTTCTCACTGTCCCACCTCCTGAATCCCAGAGCTTCTGGTGGGGGTGTCCATCAGGGTCCCATCACCCAGGCCCCAACTGTATTTGGGGTCAAGGGAGATTGAATACAGGGGAAATGGGTGCTGTGGTGGGAAGAATAACTGTCGCCAATGATGGCTACATTGTAAACCCTGGAGCCTGTGACTATTTATGTTATAGGGCAGGGGACTGAAGGGGAAGGTGGAGCTCAGGTTGTTGATGAGTTGACCTTGAGATGGGGAGACAGCCTGGACTGTCCTGCTGGGCTCAGTGTAATCACAAGGGTCCGCGTGAGAGGTGGAGGAAGAGGGGAGTGGGGATTAGAGCAGTGTAGTGGGAGGGAGACGCTATCAGCCACTGTGGGCTTTGAAGGTGGAGGAAGGCCACTAGTCACAGAATGCAGGTGGCCTCTAAGGGCTGGAGAAGTCAAGAGAACTGATTTGCTGAGTCTCCAGAGGGAACGCAGCCCTGCAGATGCCTTGATTTCAGCACAGGGAGAACTGGATCCAATTTCTGTCCCCAGAAGTGGAAGGGGTCAGTGTGTTCTCTCCTGCTGCCATGTTTGTGATAATTTTCTGCAGCAGCAACAGGAAACCGACACAGGAACCCAGGTCAAGGACAAGCTAGGAAACCAAACAAGGATAGCCAGGTGTGGTGGTGGGCACGAGTAATCCAACGACTGGGGAGGCTGAGGCAAGATAATCACTTGAACCGGGGAGGCAGAGGTTGCAGTGAGCCAAGACAACACCACTGCACTCCAGCCTGGGTGAAAAAGTGACTGTCTCAAAAATAAATTAATTAATCAATTAATTAAAGAAACCAAACAAGGAGAAGGTTGGCTACCGTGGGATCAGCAAGGGTGGGATGCTGATGCCACCACCAGGCTCCATCCACATAGGAAGGGGTTGATGCTCCTGGAACCAGCACCAGGGACCACCCTATGGAAGCTGGGGCCATGGAGAAGGCACAGACATGGCAGGAGAGGCTCCCAATCCCCATCAGGAACAGGGTGTGTGGACACTGATGTCTGCCTTACTGATGAGTTGATACCTCTGCCAGAGACTCCAATTTGTTCAAAAGAGATTGATTCAGGCTGCTGAGAGCCTGGACATGCAGCCTGTCCTCTTCCACCCCCACATAGACAGCAGGAAAGAGACTAGTGGGAAAGAGATACAACAGCCCAAGAGATGAGGCTCTCTTCACAGTGGGAAGGGAGTCAGGGGCTACTGGAGACAGAGGGACAGAGAAGAGGGAGGAAGACAAATGGAGGGACCTGCACCAGGGGATATGGGCACAGAAAAGACACGGAGACACAGAGAGGGAGGAGAGAGACAGACCTCTGGGAGGGGAACCCTCACTCATTCCAGGTGCCATGGATGGGATGATAAAGAGAGATGCCTTCTAAACTCACAACTTCTCTTTCTAGGAAACCACAGAAAACCTTCCCTCCTGGCCCACCCAGGGCCCCTGCTGAAATCAGGAGAGACAGTCATCCTGCAATGTTGGTCAGATGTCATGTTTGAGCACTTCTTTCTGCACAGAGAGGGGATCTCTGAGGACCCCTCACGCCTCGTTGGACAGATCCATGATGGGGTCTCCAAGGCCAACTTCTCCATCGGTCCCTTGATGCCTGTCCTTGCAGGAACCTACAGATGTTATGGTTCTGTTCCTCACTCCCCCTATCAGTTGTCAGCTCCCAGTGACCCCCTGGACATCGTGATCACAGGTGAGAGTGTCCAGACATTCTTCTCATTGTCATTGGGACACAGAGTGAATGATCCAGGACTTGGAACCCCCAGGTGGTCATGAGGAAGATAAGCGTGGGATTCTTATGGAGAGAGACTGACTCGGTGAGGTCTGTACCAACAGAGACAGGGAAACAGGAGACATAAGTACAGACCAGGTGTCATAACAGAGGACAGACACAGGGGCCATACGGGGAAGTAGAAAAGAGAGAAAGAGGTAAAGGAGACACTCAGACAGACAGACATGTGCCAGAGAGAAGTGTCCTTCCATGCTGACTTTGCTCAGAGACCTGGCACAGGTTAGAAGTTTCATTTCTGTTTTGTCTCCACAAAGTGCTTCTACGAGGAGAACCCAAGGACACCCATATTTCTGACCTGAGTTGGGCCCTGTGGCCTCAGGCCTTGTGGCATCTACAGATGCCATGTTTATTCTGACACCTCTGCCTTCCATGCAGTGGAGCCATAATTATCCCAGGATATCATGGCCCCAGAACACCAACCCCTAAATACTGTGTGTACTTGGTGTCCCCAGACTAGATTCTGAGGCTCATATTCCAAATAATCCTACATATAATAGGATCACTGAGAGACACAGAGATAAATCAGGGACTTCAAAAAGCAAAGGCATAAACACACAGAGAATGAGCCAGAGGAAGGGGATTGAGAGACTCACAGACACACAAAAAGAAAGAAAAGAGGGCAGAGGAGTGGAGAGAATGCTGGAAGGGAGGAGAGAAAAGCCCCAAAATCAGAACCCTGAGGGAGGGGCACAAAGACAGAGAAAGATAAAGATGTGGGGATGGATTGCAGAGATTCCAAATAGAACTAGAGAGACTGAGAGGCAGAGAAAGACAAGGAGATGGAGAGAGACAGATGATAGATGGATAGATAGATATAGATAGATGATAAATAGGTAGATGATAGATAATGGATAGGTTATAGATACATAGATGATGATTGATAGATGATACATAGAGATGATGATGATGATGATGAAGATAGATAGAAGACACATATATAAATATATAGATACATAGATGATACATAGAGACTGACAGGCAGACAGAGAGGTAATAGAGAGAGAGAGAGATGATACATAGATACAGATAATACATAGATGATTGATGGATAGACAGATAGACAATTGATAGATAAATGATACATAGATATAGATGACAGATAATTTGTAGATAGACACAAAATAGATAGATAGATAATAGATAGAAATATGCAGAAAGTTATGAACAAGACAGAAAGTGAGAGACTCAGAATTATAGAAAAAGGAAGATCAAGTCAACCAATCCAAGGAGAGTCAGAGAGAATAAAACAATCCAAAAAGGGAAAGCATACCCAGGGGTGGGGAAGTGAGGTCAGAGACCTAGAGAGACAGAGAAGGCGGAAGGAGGAAATAGACATGAAGAGAGTTGGGGTGGAGGGTGAGAGAGAGAGAGAGCATTAGGTCATAGAGCAGGGGAGTGAGTTCTCAGCTCAGGTATGAGGGGAGCTGTGACAAGGAAGAACCTCCCTGAGGAAACTGCCTCTTCTCCTTCCAGGTCTATATGAGAAACCTTCTCTCTCAGCCCAGCCGGGCCCCACGGTTCAGGCAGGAGAGAACGTGACCTTGTCCTGTAGCTCCTGGAGCTCCTATGACATCTACCATCTGTCCAGGGAAGGGGAGGCCCATGAACGTAGGCTCCGTGCAGTGCCCAAGGTCAACAGAACATTCCAGGCAGACTTTCCTCTGGGCCCTGCCACCCACGGAGGGACCTACAGATGCTTCGGCTCTTTCCGTGCCCTGCCCTGCGTGTGGTCAAACTCAAGTGACCCACTGCTTGTTTCTGTCACAGGTGAGGAAAACCCGTGTCTGTCCCATGTCTTATGATCCTAGAGCCATAGCTGAGGAGCTTCCTGCCGATGATGGGGAGAAGCATGGACAGATGCAGAGAGAACACGAAGACTGGGTGTGAGGGGGGGGTCAGGGTGCAGGATGGCAGACAGGGCACCTCCAAACCCTCTTGCATGGCCTGCATGGAGGCCCATGGTCAGGGCTCCAGGCACCCAGGCAGATGGAGAAAGCGGTCAGGACAGACCCAGAGAAGGGGAGACTGGGCTCAGTTTGGGGAGATCAGAGGTTCCCTCAGCCCCTCAACCTTACCCATTTCCCAGAAGCCCATCCTGGCCTCTCACCCACACAGAGAGATGTCATCACCAGCAACCCCTACACTCTTTTCTTTTCATTTTCAAAAATATTTATTGAGGTTAAATGTAACTATATAATTTACCAACTTTACCATTTTTAAAAGTAAAATCTAGTGGTCATAAATACCTTTATATGCTGGGTGTGGTGGTTCACGGTTGTAATCTTGGCGCTTTGAGAGGCCAAGAAAGGTGGATCATTTAAGATCAGGGACTCGAGATCAGCCTGGCCAACATGCGGGAAATTCATCTTTACTAAACAGACAAGAAAAATTAGCCAAGCATGCCGGCATGCACCTGTAGTCCTAGCTACTTGGGAGGCTGAGGCAGGAGAAGCACTTAAAGCCAGGAGGCAGAGGTTGCACTGAGCCGAGATCATGCCACTGCACTGCAGCCTGGGAGACAGAGAGAGACTCTGTTTCTAAATAAATAAATACATCTATATTCTTTTTTTTGTTACCTTCCACCCTTCCCTTCCTGGCCTCTGGTATCCACCATTCTATTCTCTACCTTCATGAGATCCACCTTTTATCTCCTGCATGTGGTGAGAAATGGGAATCTTTGTAATGACCTCCAGTTCCATCCATGTGGCTGCAAATGACAGGATGTTATTGTTTCTATGGATGAGTAGTCTCCACCGTGTGTGTGTACTACAGTTCTCTATCCATTCACCCACTGATAGGCAGGTAGGTTGACTCCACATCTTGGCTACTGTGAACAGTGCTGGAACAGTCATATGAGTGCAGATATCACTTCGATACACTGATGTCCTTTCCTTTGGATATAAACCCAGTAGTGAAATTGCTGGACACTATGAAAGTTCTCTTTTTTTTTTTTTCTTTTTTGAGAAAGAGTTTCCCTCCTTAGTCCAAGCTGGAGTCAAAGTGGTGCGATCTTGGCTCATTGCAACCTCTGCTTCCTAGGTTCAAACGATTCTCCTGACTCAGCCTCCCTAATAGCTGTGATTACAGGTGCACGCCACCATGCCTGACTAATTCTTGTATTTTTTAGCACAGACGGGATATCCCAATTTTGGGCAGGCTGCTCTCAAACTCCTGACCTCAAGTGAGGTGCCTGCCTCGGTTTCCCAAAGTGCTGAAGTTACAGGCATAAGCCACTATGCCCAGCCTCCTTTTAGTTTTTTAAAGATTTTCCATACTTTTCTCCATAATAGTTGTACTAATTTACATTCCTACCAACAGGGTACCAGGGTTCTCCTTTCTCTACCATCTTGCCAGCATTTGTTTTGCCTGTCTTGCAGATAAAAGCCATTTTACTTTACTTTATTTATTTATTTATTTATGTTGAGATGGAGTTTCACTCATAGTCGCCCAGGCTGGAGTGCAAGGGTGTGATCTCGGCTCACTGCAACCTCTGCCTCCCGCGTTCAACTGATTCTCCTGCCTCAGCCTCCAAAGTAGCTGGGATTACAGGCATGTGCCACCACGCCTAGCTAATTTTTGTATGTTTAGTAGAGAGGGAGTTTCTCCATGTTGGTCAGGCTGGTCTCCCGACCTCAGGTGATCCGCCCACCTCCGCCTCCCAAAGTGCTGGAATTACAGGCGTGAGCCACCGGCCTAAAAGGCATTTTAATGGGATGAGATGAAAACTCATCGCGATTGTAATTTACATTTCTGTGATGATGAGTGATGCTGAGCACTTTTTCATATACGTGATCGCCATTTCTATGTTTTGTTTGTGGAGAAATGTCTCCTCATGTCTTTTGCTCGTTTTTTAATTAAATTGTTTTATTGAGTTGTTTGAGCTTCTTATATTTCCAGTTATTAATCCCATCTCAGATGAATAGTTTGCAAATATTTGCTCCTATTTTGTGGGTTGTCTCTTCACTTTGTTGGTTTATCTTTGGTGGTGCAGAAGTTGCTTGGTTTGATGTAATCCTAATGGTCTATTTTTTGCTTTGATTACTTGTGTTTTGAAGGTTTTAAACAAAATGTCTTTCATCAGACAAATGTCTTCCCCATTATTTTCTTCTACATGTTTCATAGGTTCAGGCCTTAGACTCATGTTTTTAATCCATTTTCATTTGATTTTTGTGTAAGGTGACAGGTATAGATGCAGTTTTATTCCTCTGCATGTAGATATCCAGTTTTCCCCACACCATTTATTGAAGACTGTCCTTTCCTGATTGTAAGTTCTCGGCACCTTTGTCAAAGTCCATTAAATGGGCTGGGTATGGTGGCTCACACCTGCAATTCCAGCACTTTGGGAGGCCGAGGCGGGTGGATCACCTAAAGCCAGGAGTTCAAGACCAGGCTGGCCAACAGAGTGAAACCTCGTCTCTACTAAAAATACAAAAATTAGCTGAGCATGGTGATCAGTGCCTGTAATACCACTACTCAGGAGTTTGAAGCAAGAGAATTTCTTGAATCCAGGAAGTGGAGGTTGCATTGAGCTGAGATTGCACCTCTACACTCCAGCCTGCATGACAGAGCAAGATTCTATCACACACACACAAAAGAAAGCCATTGGATGTAAATGCATGGATTATATCTGTGTTCTCCATTCTGTTCCATTTTTTATGTGCCTTTCTTTATGCCAATGTCATGCTGTTTTGCTTACTACAGCTCTGTAACATATTTCTAAGTCAGGTAGTGTGATGCTCCTGTTTTCTCTTTATACCTTCAAGTCTCAAGACAGTGGGCATCGCACACAAAAATTATGGAGAAAAGGATCCCAAGACTCCCAGGGTCCAACATTAGATAACAGAGTGTTGGCCATGAACCAACCTCAAAGATTTCCATTGAGTAGAGGACAAGCACCCTCATTTCCTCACATCTCTCCTGTCCCGTGTTCTAGGAAACCCTTCAAGTAGTTGGCCTTCACCCACAGAACCAAGCTCCAAATCTGGTGAGTAAAGGACCCCTCTTATCTCTGCTTTTGGAAACCTGGGGAGGTGGAAGCCTTGGATGCAAGTGTTGGCTCAAACCTCCCAGCTCTGTGAATGAGGGCCTGTCTTCCACCATCTCTGAACTCCAGACACTCCAACAGTGAAAGGGATCTAGGGCCACCAAAGGGCTCAGCGAAGTCTCTTTACCTTTAATTTCCTGCAGGTGAGACCTCCTACAAGCTAGAAGAATAATTGCCAATCTGACATCCTTCTCAGGAAAAATGCAGTGTTTTTTCTGCCTGCATTCCTAACTGGAGGATAAATTCCCGGGGGCTTGAGAGAGGGAAGGGAAGGGAACATCTGATGAGGGTGGGTGTTTTAGAGAAGTTCCACTTGCCAAGGAATGAATTACTGTTGGTCATCAGGCAACCCTGGCTGACTCAGCAGAGCAAGAGCCTTGCCGTAACAGAGAACAGAGCTCATGCACGCACACTTCGACTCAGTGACTCATTCAGCCACAGCCCCATGCTCAGGCTGTGCAGTGTGGAAGCTTTTCCTATTGTTGCCATAACAAATTTCCACAAGATTCGTGTGTGAAAACAAAACGGTTATTTAATTATCTTACAGTGCTGTAGCTCAAAGCATGACGTGCATGTCACTGGGCTAAAATCAAGGTGACAGCAAGGCTGCCTTCCCTCTGAGGGTTCCAGGCAAGAATCTGCTTCTCACTTTTCTCAGCTTCTAGAGGCTCCCATGTTCCTTGGCTCCTGGTACCCTTCCTCCTTCCTCAAAGCCCACAAAGACTGGTCACATCTCACATGGCATCACTCAGACCCTTCTTCCTTACCACACCTCTTTCTCTGAATGCTGCTCTCCCTTCTTGCCCTTCTTTTGAAAACTTGGGGATTCTATTGGGTTCACCAAGATGAAAATCCATCATAATCTCCCGGAAATCATCCAGGATACCCTCCTTTTAAGTTCAGCTGACTAGCAACCATAATTCCATCTGCAATCTTCATTCCTCCTTTCATGTAAAATAACATATTCACAAGCTATGGAGGCTAGGACATGGACATTTTTGGGGTGGGACAACATTCTCCTGCCTTCCACAAACAGTGAACAAGATGCATTTGGCCTCTGTTCTTGGGACACTGATCTTGCAGATGGTTAAATGGGAGGGCAGAAAATGTAGGCACAAGGGGACCAATAAATGAATGATCTATTGAGAAGCATCTGTGCATGAAATCTATTTATTTATGTATTTACCTACTTGTTTATTGAGACGGAGCCTTGCTCTGTCGTCCAGGCTAGAGTGCGGTGGCATGATCTCGGCTCACTGCAACCTCCACCTCCTGGGCTGAACTGATCTCCTCCCTCAGCCTCTCCAGTAGCTGGGATTACAGACCACAACCACCACGCCCGGCTAACTCTTTTTGCATATTTTCTGTAGAGAGGATGTTTCACCATGTTGGCCAGGCTGGTCTCAAATTCCCAACCTCAGGTGATCCAATAGCCTCTGCCTCCCAACACGCTGGGATAAGAGGCATGAGCCACGGGGCCAAGCCAAATTTTCAAATCAATAATAGATAATGCTGAGTGTATTATTTCAGGTGACAGAGAAGTTCTCACTAATCAGATATTTGTGACATTAATGAAAAACACGGATTGAACCCCTGAAAGATTGGCGGAAGGATTTTGCACACACAGCTGTCAGCCGTGAAGGCACAAAGGTGAAAACAATCTGATGTGGAAGGAAGAGGCTCTGACTCAAATGCTGGGAATGAGGTGGGGAGAATGACAAGATGACTGTAGAGAGACGGAGAGCACACTGGGTACACAGGAAACTAAGGAGCAACAAGGAGCGTGTGTTTGACACTCACAGCCATTGGATTCACCTCGAGGTAACCAGGAATCCCTACATGATTAATATGACTGACATGAAAATAAGGGAGGCTCAGTTGCATAACTGGAATCTAGGAGACCGTGGAAAAGGCAATTGCCGCCCCACTGGTGAAATGTGGTGCTGATTTAGACACTAAATGAATGAAGTAGATGGATATAAGATATGTTTGTGAGGTAGAATCATTGGCTGGAAAGGCTTGCTGGGTTTAATTTTTCCTGGTAGTTTAATCCTCGCTTCACTAACTTATTTCTGAGATTTATTTCTCCTGCATCTAAATCAATACCTGGCAGAGGAGGGAGAGCTAGATGAGGGGTGGTGCAAATGAAGGGACCTAGTATAGCATAATATACAAGGCTGTGAACGGTGGCTCACGCCTGTAACCCAGCACTTCAGGAGGCCAACGCGGGTGGATCACATGAAGTCAGGAGTTCGAGACCAGCCTGGCCAACATGGAGAAACCCTATCTCTACTAAAAATACAAAAATTAAACAGGCATGATGGTGGTGCATGACTGTAATCCCAGCTACTCTGGAGGAGGAAGCAGGAGAATGACTTCAGCCCTGGAGGCAGAGGTTGCAGTGAGTGGAGATCGCATCACTGCACACCAGCCTGGGCTACACAGGGATACTCTGTCTCAAAAAATAAAAATAAAAAATACATAAATATAATAATATACACAAATGATGCAGGCACCTGAATTCCAATCATCATTTTTCTATTCCTCTATAATTACTTCTTTGATCCTTTATCTTATCCATTAGAAAATCAGCCTAAAACCTCTTCCATATTTGGCTTTCTGTGAACATGAGATCATATGGAAAATATGAAAGCCCCCTGAACCCACCAGCACAGGCCCTGAAATAGGGAAAGTGCTCTGTTCATCACAAGAAACTTTCCCCCTCACCCAAATCCCCCACCTCACCCCTACTTCCAATCACCTGTGGAGATACAGATAGATCATGGGGAGGTAAACGCTAATACTCCTTGGAGTGAGTTCAGATCTTGGAATCAGAGATCAGCACCAGCACTAGCTCCTGCTCCCCTTTCCTACTAATTCACAGGAGGACAGGTGGTTTTGAAGCAATAGATGGTGGAGGGGGTGGTCTTTCCCCCAGCCTCTCAGGTGGAACAGCAGCCTAACATGTGTCTCGCGAGATCACAAAGAGTAGCACGTTTCACATGGGCTTCATCATTATTTCCTGGCTGTTTGACATAAGAGAATTCTACTTTGCTTTTTTGATCTTGATTTCACTTTTGTGTCCTTTTCTTGGAGAATGTAATTTGAGTCAAGAGGGTTGTGGATGTAGAAACTGTAAAGCACATTCACTGTGTATCAATCCCAGTCCAGTCTTTCCAGAGAAGACTCTAAACACCTGCTGTACTGCACCTGGGCCTATGCCAATTTCTATCACTCACCGTCACTCCAGGGAGACAGAACACACAGAGAATACGTTACATAGGCAGGTTCATTACTAACAGATAAGCAGCGAGTGACAACAGAAGCCTACATTTCAACGTGAGCCAGTCCCTCAAGGCTCAGAAAAGCTGCTCGGGACATATGGAGTCACCTCATTTGCAGTGTATCTGGGGGAAGCCAGAAAATAGCCCAGCCTGGGTTTTGTACCCTGAAGCCACAGGAAGCACTCAGCTAAAGCACTGCATGACGTCCTCCTCCAGGAAGAACAGGAAGACAGCACAGGCTGTTCTGAGACGTTCCTCCTGATCTCAGGACGTTGCTGTCTTAGTCCATTTTTGTTGCTATAAAAGAACACTTGAGCCTGGGTTACTTCTTTTTTTTTTTTTTTTTTTTTTGTATAGTGCTTCTGATGAGCTTTTTTTTAAAATTTTTATTATTATTATACTTTAAGTTTTAGGGTACATGTGCACAATGTGCAGGTTAGTTACATATGTATACATGTGCCATGCTGGTGTGCTGCACCCATCAACTCGTCATTTAGCATTAGGTATATCTCCTAATGCTATCCCTCCCCCCTCCCCCCACCCCACAACAGTCCCCAGAGTGTGATGTTCCCCTTCCTGTGTCCATGTGTTCTCATTGTTCAATTCCCACCTATAAGTGAGAACATGCGGTGTTTGGATTTTTGTCCTTGTGATAGTCTACTGAGAATGATGATTTCCAATTTCATCCATGTCCCTGCAAAGGACATGAACTCATCATTTTTTATGGCTGCATAGTATTCCATGGTGTATATGTGCCACATTTTCTTCATCCAGTCTATCATTGTTGGACATTTGGGTTGGTTCCAAGTCTTTGCTATTGTGAATAGTGCCACAATAAACATACGTGTCCATGTGTCTTTATAGCAGCATGATTTATAGTCCTTTGGGTTTATACCCAGTAATGGGATGGCTGGGTCAAATGGTATTTCAAGCTCTAGATCCCTGAGGAATCGCCACACTGACTTCCACAATGGTTGAACTAGTTTACAGTCCCACCAACAGTGTAAAAGTGTTCCTATTTCTCCACATCCTCTCCAGCACCTGTTGTTTCCCGACTTTTTAATGATCGCCATTCTAACTGGTGTGAGATGGTATCTCATTGTGGTTTTGATTTGCATTTCTCTGATGGCCAGTCATGGTGAGCATTTTTTCATGTGTTTTTTGGCTGCATAAATGTCTTCTTTTGAGAAGTGTCTGTTCATGTCCTTTGCCCACTTTTTGATAGGATTGTTTGTTTTTTTCTTGTAAATTTGTTTGAGTTCATTGTAGATTCTGGATATTAGCCCTTTGTCAGATGAGTAGGTTGCGAAAATTTTCTCCCATTTTGTAGGTTGTCTGTTCACTCTGATGGTAGTTTCTTTTGCTGTGCAGAAGCTCTTTAGTTTAATTAGATCCCGTTTGTCAATTTTGGCTTTTGTTGCCGTTGCTTTTGGTGTTTTAGACATGAAGTCCTTGTCCATGCCTATGTCCTGAATGGTAATGCCTAGGTTTTCTTCTAGGGTTTTTATGGTTTTAGGTCTAACGTTTAAGTCTTTAATCCATCTCAAATTAATTTTTGTATAAGGTGTAAGGAAGGGATCCAGTTTCAGCTTTCTACCTATGGCTAGCCAGTTTTCCCAGCACCATTTATTAAATAGGGAATCCTTTCCCCATTGCTTGTTTTTCTCAGGTTTGTCAAAGATCACATAGTTGTAGATATGTGGCATTATTTCTGAGGGCTCTATTCTGTTCCATTGATCTATATCTCTGTTTTGGTACCAGTACCATGCTGTTTTGGTTACTGTAGCCTTGTAGTATAGTTTGAAGTCAGGCAGCATGATGCCTCCAGCTTTGTTCTTTTGGCTTAGGATTGACTTGGCAATGCAGGCTCTTTTTTGATTCCATATGAACTTTAAGGTAGTTTTTTCCAATTCTGTGAAGAAAGTCATTGGTAGCTTGATGGGGATGGCATTGAATCTATAAATTACCTTGGGCAGTATGGCCATTTTCACGATCTTGATTCTTCCTACCCATGAGCATGGAATGTTCTTCCATTTGTTTGTATCCTCTTTTATTTCATTGAGCAGTGGTTTGTAGTTCTCCTTGAAGAGGTCCTTCATATCCCTTGTAAGTTGGATTCCTAGGTATTTTATTCTCTTTGAAGCAATTGTGAATGGGAGTTCACTCATGATTTGGCTCTCTGTTTGTCTGTTATTGGTGTATAAGAATGCTTGTGATTTTTGTACATTGATTCTGTATCCTGAGACTTTGTAGAAGCTGCTTATCAGCTTAAGGAGATTTTGGGCTGAGACAATGGGGTTTTCTATATATACAATCATGTCATCTGCAAACAGGGACAATTTGACTTCCTCTTTTCCTAATTGAATACCCTTTATTTCCTTCTCCTGCCTAATTGCCCTGGCCAGAACTTCCAACACTATGTTGAATAGGAGTGGTGAAAGAGGGCATCCCTGTCTTGTGCCAGTTTTCAAAGGGAATGCTTCCAGTTTTTGCCCATTCAGTATGATACTGGCTGTGGGTTTGTTATAGATGGCTCTTATTATTTTGAGATACGTCCCATCAATGCCTAATTTATTGAGAGTTTTTAGCATGAAGCGTTGTTGAATTTTGTCAAAGGCCTTTTCTGCATCTATTGAGATAGTCGTCCGGTTTTTGTCTTTGGTTCTGTTTATATGATGGATTACATTTATTGATTTGCATATATTGAACCAGCCTTGCATCCCAGAGCCTGGGCAACTTCTAGAGAAAACAGATTTGTTTGCCTCACAGTTCTGCAGGCTGTACTGGAAGCATGGCACCAGCATCTGTTTCCTGTGACGGCCTCAGGCTGCTCCCACTCTGGCAGAAGGGAAGGAGGGTCTGTCTGTGCAGAGACCACAGAGATCACATGGCAAGAGAGGGAGCAAGGGGGAGGGCGAGCGATGGAGCTTCCAAGCTCTTTTTAACAACCAGCCCTCCGGGAACTAATAGAGGGGGAACTTGCTAACCCCATCATGTGGGGCAGCATTAATCTATTCATGATGGATCCACCTCCATGACTCAAACACCTTCCCATAGGCCCAAACTTCCACACTGGGGGTTAAATTTCAATATTTCAGTGTGAGGTTTCAAAGGGTCAAACATCTAAACTAAAGCAGCTGTATCCTCAGCATGTTCTATGGTTTCTATGAGAGCTGTAACTGAGAAAGCAGGAGAAAGCTGGGTCTCCCGCCATCAGGCTGCTTGTCCTAAGGAGATGTTCCATGTGGTTACCTGTCAATCAAGAAATGAGACAATCCATAAAGAGGAACTGCTATGATTAGCTTCTTATTGGATTCCCATCTTCCTCCAGGTATCTGCAGACACCTGCATGTTCTGATTGGGACCTCAGTGGTCATCTTCCTCTTCATCCTCCTCCTCTTCTTTCTCCTTTATCGCTGGTGCTCCAACAAAAAGAGTAAGTCTCACGAAGCAGAGGCCAGAGAGCTCAGGGCCATGTGGGGAAGCAGGATGGGAGCACGCGGGTGTGTGTTCCTCACTGGCAGGATGGTCCCTGGCCCAAGGGAGGAGCCACAGAGGCAGGGCTTTCTAGAGAGAGCACCAGACAACCTGCCCCTGCCTTCAGCTCACAGACCATTGCCTGGTTCTGAACTGTATCCTCACATCCCCTGCAGCTACTGACATCCAGAAGCTTCCATGACAGGCAGAAAGTGGGAGACAGAATCAATGGGATGCCAATTGAGAGCACTTCATGGGATGGGGTCTTGAACTCAGAGAGATAGAATGTCTGAGTCTGGATGTTGGCAGCTGAAGAGCCTCAGGCACCTACAGCCTCCCCCTGTGGGTTGGTGTCTGCCCATGAAATGAGGACCCAGAAGGGCCCTCCAAGCGGTTTTGATGACTTCCGTCTCCTACAGATGCTGCTGTAATGGACCAAGAGCCTGCGGGGGACAGAACAGTGAATAGGCAGGTAGGTCCTCCTCGGCCCAGCCTCACGGATACAGTCTTATCCCTAATAGTCCTGAAAAATGTGAGCACCCTCCCTCACTCAGCATTTCCCTCTCTCCAGGACTCTGATGAACAAGACCCTCAGGAGGTGACGTACGCACAGTTGGATCACTGCGTTTTCATACAGAGAAAAATCAGTCGCCCTTCTCAGAGGCCCAAGACACCCCTAACAGATACCAGCGTGTACACGGAACTTCCAAATGCTGAGCCCAGATCCAAAGTTGTCTCCTGCCCACGAGCACCACAGTCAGGTCTTGAGGGGGTTTTCTAGGGAGACAACAGCCCTGTCTCAAAACCAGGTTGCCAGATCCAATGAACCAGCAGCTGGAATCTGAAGGCATCAGTCTGCATCTTAGGGGATCGCTCTTCCTCACACCACGAATCTGAACATGCCTCTCTCTTGCTTACAAATGCCTAAGGTCGCCACTGCCTGCTGCAGAGAAAACACACTCCTTTGCTTAGCCCACAAGTATCTATTTCACTTGACCCCTGCCCACCTCTCCAACCTAACTGGCTTACTTCCTAGTCCTACTTGAGGCTGCAATCACACTGAGGAACTCACAATTCCAAACATACAAGAGGCTCCCTCTTAACACGGCACTTACACACTTGCTGTTCCACCTTCCCTCATGCTGTTCCACCTCCCCTCAGACTATCTTTCAGCCTTCTGTCATCAGTAAAATTTATAAATTTTTTTTATAACTTCAGTGTAGCTCTCTCCTCTTCAAATAAACATGTCTGCCCTCATGGTTTCGATAATGTGACTCTTTATTCGCCAAAAGTTTCCAGTGTTATCATTACTATGTCCATATAACCTGATATGTTCTCTACTGGGTTCTCAGCCCTGGACTCTGAGCTTCTGGAAGCAGGGTGGAGCCTCATTTGTCTCTGGGACTCCAATTTCCATCCAAAGATGCAGCACATAGGAGGTTCCAAGGATCGTGAATCACATGAACAAGTGATATTCTTACTCTCTGCAGACCTGGAAAGCTGGCAGAGTCATTCCAAGATGAAACATTTGTAGAGTCATAGGCCTTGTTAGTCTCATCTCCACAGGGACACATGTCAACACATCATCTTTCATACTATAAATATACAGTCGCTCCTCCATATCTGTGGGGTTTACAGGTGTTTATTGAACCAAATATAAATCAAAAATATTCAGAGAAAAAATCCACAAAGTTCCAAAAAGCAAAAATACTATATTGTGTGGACACAAGTGAGGTGGTGTGTAGGCTGTATCAGGAATTATAAGTAATCTAGAGATGATTTCATGTATACAGGAGGATGTGCATGGGTTATATGCAAACGCTGTGCCATTTCATGCAACAGGCTTGAGCATCTGCAGATTTTGGTGTCTGGTAGGGAGGGGGGTTTCCTGGAACCAATCACCCATGAATAGTGAAGGACAACTGTATATAATTTTCATTCATCAATTTTATAAATAAATCATCAAAATGTATGATAATAAGATAAAAAATTAGCAGTGTTTTTATGGTGTGAAAATAAGCTTAGATTTATTTTTTCCTGCTTGTAACCCTCTGGTCCAATGTTATTTACTGAGAAGACATTCTATTCCACCTTAATCCGCATGGCAGCCTCTGTCAACTATAAAAGGACTGTGTGTACACAGATGTATTTTACACACTCTTTTCTGCTCAGTGGCTCTCTGTGTCCACTCTCATGAGGATGCTGCACTTTATGTGGCCTTATAGAACCCCTTAAAATTTGGCAGCCTGAATCCTCTAATTTCTCCTTCCTCTTTAAGATTGCCATTATTATTATTATTGGCTATTTGCTTTTCCATGTAAATTTGTAATCATTTTTCTCATTTCCACCAAAAACAATGCTTGTAATTTTGTTGTGACTCCCTTACATCTACAGGTAAGTTCTGTCCTATAGAAACATAATGCAAACCACATGCATTCTTTCAAACTTGCTAGTATCCAAATTAAAAAGCTAACAAGAAACAGATAAAATTAATTTAAGTTAACCCAATGGACCCAAAATATTATTAACCCAACAGACCCAAAATATTAACCTAATAGATCCAAAATATTATTTTATTATACAAGTAGACTCAAAATATTATCATTTCAACATGTAATCATGTGTCATCTTGGAAAACATCAGATCCCTGTCTAGGTGGGCAAAGATTTTTCTTCGTAATATCTCATTTCCACATTTCCACTTGGCACAGAAACTGCCCCCAAGGCTCAGGATACTAAGATGCAGTAGGAATGGGTAGATGTATCTGGAGGAAAGTGACTGAATGAAATTGAGACATCAGAGTCTGGGAAACTCACTAGAACTACAGGGACAGTGTGGGGGAGGGAATTGGGAGATGTTGATCAAAGGATACAAACTATCAGGTATTCAGGAGGAATGGGTCTGAAGATCTCTTGTACAGCTTTGCCACTATGGTTGACAATACTGTACTCTATACTTGAAATTTACCAGGAAAGTAGATTTTTTTTTTTAAATATGGAACACTTCACGAATTTGCGTGTCATTCTTGCGCAGGGGCCATGCTAGTTTTCTCTGTATCGTTCCAATTTTAGTATATGTGCTGCCGAGGCAAGCATGGGAGAGTAGATTTTTTTTTTTTTTTTTTTTTTTTTTGAGCTGGAGTCTTGCTCTGGCACCCAGGCTGGAATGGTGAGCGGATATCTCGGCTCACCGGAAGCTCCGCCTCCTGGGTTCACGCCATTCTCCTGCCTCACCCTCCCGAGTAGCTGGGACTACCGGCGCCCGCCCCCCCGCCCTGCTAATTTTTTGTATTTTTAGTAGAGACGGGGTTTCACTGTGTTAGCCAGGATGGTCTCGATCTCCTGACCTCGTGATCCGCCTGCCTCGGCCTCCCAAAGTACTGGGATTACAGGCATGAGCCACCACGCCCGGCTGGGAGAGTAGATCTTAAGGGTCCTCACCACAAAAAAAAAAAAAAGAAAGAAAGAAAAAGAAACCATAGGCCGGGCGCGGTGGCTCACGCCTGTAATCCCAGCACTTTGGGAGGCCAAGACGGGCAGATCACTTGAGGTCAGGAGTTCAAGACCAGCATGGCCAACATGGTGAAACCCTGTCTCTACTAAAAATGCAAACATTAGCCAGGCGTGGTGACACAAGCCTGTAATCCCAGCTACTCAGGAGGCTGAGGCACGAGAATTGCTGGAACCTGGGAGCGGAGGTTGCAGTGAGCCAAGATGGCACCACTGCACTCTAGCCTGGGGGACAGAGTAAGACTTCCTCTCAAAAAAAAAAAAAAAAAAAAAAACAATAACCCTGCGAGATGATGGATATAACTAGCTTGACTATGATGATCATGTCACCATGTATACATACATCAAAACATCAAGTGTAATACACCTTAAATATATACAATTTCCATTTGTCAATCATATCTCAATAAAGCTAAAAGAAACCTCTAAGTTTCAACTTTATTTTCAGAAAGCTGTGCCATGCTTACCTCAGTGCCTAAGTATACTCTAATTCATGGAAATGGCCTTTAAAACTGCAGAGAGTGGCTGGGTGCAGTGGCTCACGCCTATAATCCCAGCACTTTGGGAGGCGGAGGTGGGCAGATCACGAGGTCAGGAGTTCGAGATCAGCCTGGCCAACATGGTGAAACTCTGTCTCTACTAAAAATACAAAAAATAGCTGGGCATGGTGGCAGGTGCCTGTAAATCTGAGATACTCAGGAGGCTGAGACAGGAGAATCGTTTGAACTGGGGAGGCAGAGGTTGCAGTGAGCCGAGATCCTGCCATTGCACTCCAGCCTGGGCGACAGGGTGAGACTCCATCTCAAAAAAAAAAAAAATACTGCAGAGAGTTAAGGCCCTCACTGGACACTCTCCGGTACCTCTGAGGTCAGTGGATAGAGAAGCAGCTCCCCTTCTTCTTCCTCGAAACAAAGGCCTCCTTCCTTCTTAGGTGTTTGAGACAAATTCTCCACACAGGTGCAGCTGAGTGCTGTAAAGTCCCACTGAGAGTTGAAGGTCCCCACTGCCAGTCACAGTTCGGTCCCACTGAGGGTTGAAGGTCCCCACTGCCAGTCACAGTTTGGTCCCATTGAGGGTTGAGAGTCTCCACTGCCAGTCACAGTTTGGTCCCATTGAGGGTTGAGAGTCTCCACTGCCAGTCAGTTTGGGCTTATTAGGGTTTATGCTGTGCACGGAGAATGGAACCTACCAATCAACTCTTAGTGACCAGTTAGACAGATTCAAGGCAAATTTCCCTGCTGGGAAATCCCAAATCCCAAAATATGCAGAGACCAATAGATGCCTCAATTCTTCCGTGTCTCCGTCTAAATCCTTGGGTCACTGTGACTCCTGTAGTTATGTGGCTTGTAATTCCTTGGGCCGTAGAATGGCTATGATAGGCCCTGTGCTAAGGGGACTGGTGACAGTTGAGACAGGAACATGGAAGCTATAGTAGTCAGGGTTCTCCAGAAAAAAAAATAATCAACACTAATAATGATAGATATATAGATAATGATTGATAGACAAATAATGATAGATATATAATGATATCACAAATAATGATAGACATATAGTTGGATAATGACAGATATATAATGATTGATACACAGATAGGGTATTTATATATTGGCTTATGCAACTATGTAGACTGACAGGTCCCATGATCTGCCATCTGCAAGCTGGAGACCCAGGGGAGTCCACGTGTAGTTCCAGTCTACGTGCAAAAGTCTGAGAACCAGTAGAGTTAGTGGTATACGTAACAGTCCAAAAGCTAGCAGGCTCATGCCGGGCATGATGGCTCACGCCTGTAATCCCAACACTTTGGGAGACCAAGGCAGGCAGATCACCTGAGGTCAGAGTTCAAGACCAGCCCGGCCAACATGGTGAAACCCCATCTTTACTAAAAATACAAAAATTAGCCGGGCATAGTGGCATTCGCTTGTAATCCCAGCTACTCAGAGGCTGAGGTACGAGAATTGCTTGAACCCAAGAGGTGAAGGTTGCAGTGAGCCGAGATCATGCCACAGCACTCCAGCCTGGGTGACAGAGTGAGACTCTATCTCAAAAAAACAAACAAACAAAAAAAGCTGGCAGGCTTAACATCTAAAGAGTCAATGTTTTAGTGAGAGTTCAAGAGCCAGAAAAGACTGATGTCCAGGCAAAAGGAACTTCATCTTACATTACCAGTTCAATGTTTTGTTCTATTCAGGTCCCACCTGATTGAATGAGGCCGACTCACATTAGGGAGAGCAATCTGCTTTATAAATTACACTAATTCCATTGATAATCTCATTCAGCAACACCCCCACAGACACACACAGAATAATGTTTAACCAAATATCTCAGCACCCCATGGCTACGTTACCATTCCTGTTCCACAAAAGGAGGAAACAAAAGAACAAAACCACACCAAATGTTGTGGTAAGTTGACAAAATCTGTTCCAGCCCATTAGTAAATATTGGCCACTGAAGTTCCTGAAATTCAACAATTAGTAAGTATCTCTCTCCCAATAGAAAGCCACGTCATTTGTAAACCATAACAATAGCTTTTGTTTTTTTGAGACACAGTCTCGCTCTGTGTTGCCCAGGCTGGAGTGCAGTGATCTTGGCTCACTGCAACCTCTGCCTCCTGGGTTCAAGTGGCTCTCCTGCCTCAGCCTTCCGAGTAGCTGGAATTACAGGCACCCGCCACCACACCCAAGTAATTTTTTATATTTTTAGTAGAGACTGGGTTTCACCACATTGACCAGGCTGGTCTTAAATTCCTGAACTCAAGTGATTCACCTGCCTTGGCCTCCCAAAGTGCTGGGATTACAGGCATGAGCTACTGCACCCAGCCAACAATAGTATTTTTAATTAGGTCATCCTGCCTTTACAATCTCTGCATTTTAAATACTCAACTAAGAGTACAGCCATTATTTGTCTTTCACCCAAAGTCCCATTCAAGTGAGAACAAAGGAATGAATAAATAAGGCATAAGTAACAAAACAACAAAAAAAGAAAATTAGAATGCGGTCAATTTCATGCAATCATCAACACCAAATTTCCAGAACGTAGTATTTCCAAATTTCCCGAACGTAAATATGTATGTGGAAATTAACAAAATGTGGCAAAACAAAAGGTCACTTAAATTTGCACAAATGAAACAGTCAACATGGAAGCTGATCGGCTTTCTGAAATATGGGACAAGCTCAGGACTTCAAAATACTTCGGCGTTGGAAGGGCTAAGTTATGATGTATTAAAATGAAAATAAAGTGGGGCGCGGTGGCTCACGCCTGTAATCCCAGCACTTTGGGGGACCGAAGTGGGTGGATCACGAGGTCAGGAGATCGAGACCATCCTGGCTAACACGGTGAAACCCCGTTTCTACTGAAAATACAAAAAAAATTAGCCGGGCGTGGTGGCGGATGCCTGTAGTCCCAGCTACTCGGGAGGCTGAGGCAGGAGAATAGCATGAACCCAGGAAGTGGAGCTTGCAGTGAGCTGAGATCACGCCACTGCACTCCAGCCTGGGCGACAGAGCAAGACTCCGTCTCAAAAAAAAAAAAAGAATAAATAAAATAAAATAAAATAGTAGAAGGTTTAATTAGGAATATTTCACTCTCCATACCTGAAGAATTCGTGATAGCCAGGAGTCTACAATCAAAATAACATAAATAATAAGATAAAAATAAAATTAATTTGAAGCCATAAAAAAAGAATGAGTTCATATGTTTTGTGGAAACATGGATGGAGCTGGAGGCCATTATCCTTAGCAAACTATACAAGAACAGAACACCAAATACAGCAGGTTCTCACTTATAAGTGGAAGCTAAATAATAGAACTCATGAACACAAAAAAGGGAAAAACAGACAATGGGGTCTCCTTTAGGGTGGAGGGTGGGAGGCGGGAAAGGAGCAGGCAAAGTAACTATTAGGTACCAAGCTTATTACCTAGGTGATGAAATAATCTGTACAACAAACCCCCATGACACAAGTTTACCTGTATAACAAACCTTCCCATGTACCCTTGAACCTAAAATAAAAGTTAAAAAAATACTCAATGAGCAACAATGTACATTATTTGAGGATAATTATATTAAAAGCCCAGACTTCACCACTACACAAAATATCCACGTAATAAAATTTCACTTGCGCTCCTTAAATTTATACAAATAAACAAAAAAGTATAATAAAATAGTAGATTCTTTCTTTAGAGATGACAAATAGTGCCAGAGAAAATGCCTCCACACTCTGGCATTGAGATCATCTCCAGGATAAGGGTATACTGCATGCCTGGTCAAGTCCAAGTAAATATACTCAGACCATGAATCTCAGAGATGAAACATAGGTTCAGAACAGACAAAGCCACAGAGCTTTTGACTAATGGCCCAGTGAAGGCAATGTCTGCCTGTATGGTATCCACCACCTTATATTCTGTCCCAAGCCCGTCTATTTGGATGTAGCATCTGGTTCAAAGATGAATTTGAACACCATTAGACACTGGCTTAATGAAAATTCACTTCTCATTCGTTTCTCATCTGAAACATAAATAGAAATATAGGTCTTAGGCAGGAGGATTTCTTGATGCCAGAAGTTAGAGACTACCCTGGCCAACATAGAAAGACCCCATCTCTATTTAAAAAAATATACATATATATGTCTTCTCTTGGGCTCCACCCAAGAGCAACCTGGAACTAAGTTATTCGGCAACGAACTGTTCCACTTTGTTGTGAGGCAATAGATGTGGAAATTCCCTGACGAGGGGCTCTGTCCTCATACTTCCTGCGGAGCTTATTGTCGTAAGAATATCTGTCATCCTGCTAATGTGCATTGAAAGGAGAGCAACGGGGCTGAGGCCGTGTCAGCACGATGGACCCCAAACAGACCACCCTCCTGTGTCTTGGTGAGTTTCAGAGTAAAAGTGGGTTAGAGGGGAAGATAGAGAAATCCCAAAATAATCAGGGTGTCTCTTAACAGTGTGACTAGGAGATTTTAGTGGCTGCCAAGGAGATTCTGATCTCCTTAGTGGAAAGGCCGTCTTTGTCAATGTATCTATAACTTTGTCTCTACCCAAGCCCAAGCTAGCTTGTGGGGCTCAAGGTTTAATATTTGTATTAAACCTATAGTGTGTTATCTGGGATTCATGATGGTCCCAAGGTTCTTATCAAGGAGAGACTTAGAGGCTGGAATCTGAAAGGTAAAAATAAAGAATGAACCTCAAAACTGTGATTGTTGTGGAAGGAAAACATATGATAGAACCCCATATAGAAATATGGTTACTAGTATTTTGTTGAAGATTTTTGCATTTATGTTCAACAAAGATATTATCCAGAAGTTTTCTGTTTTTGTTGTATCTCTGCCACATTTTGTTATCAGGATAATGTTGGCCTCATAGAATGAGTTGGGGAGGAGTCCCTCCTCCAGGATTTTTTTCAATAGTTTCAGTAGGAATAATACTAGCTCTTCTTGGCCGGGCGCAGTGGCTCACACCTGCAATCCCAGCACTTTGGGAGGCCAAGGCAGGCGGATCACAAGGTCAGGAGATCAAAACCATCCTGGCCAACATGGTGAAACCCTGTCTCTACTAAAAATACAAAAAAATTAGCCAGGCGTGGTGGCGGGCGCCTGTAGTCCCAGCTACTCGTGCGGCTGAGGCAGGAGAATGGCATGAACCTGGGAGGCAGAGCTTGCAGTGAGCCAAGATCATGCCACTGCACTCCAGCTTGGGCGACACAGCGAGACTCTGTCTCAAAAAAAAAAAAAAATGCCAGCTCTTCTTTATATATCTGGTGGGATTGAGCTGTGAATCCATCTGGTACTGGTCTTTTTCTGGTCTGTCATTACAGAGGGTGATTTGTCGTAAAGGTTGGAAATGGAAGCTTGATTTTTCATAAATCTCTCTCTTCCAGTGCTCTGTCTGGGCCAGAGGATTCAGGCACAGGAAGGTAAGTGTCCTGTAAATCTCTCCCAGCCCCTTTAGACCCTCTTGGGAGCTCTAGGATAAAGAAATTGAAGAATAGCCTGAAGCACCATTCTTATTTTAATCCCCATTCTAGTTGTTTCTGCTGTGCTTCTCTTGCATAATTTCTATCTCACTTTGTTATCTCCAAACCCTTCAGACTCATTAATGCTCAGGCCTGGATTTATAGTTAGTCCTTGCCTGTGTTAGACTGTCCATGAAGGATCTGTAATTTACTGAATGCTCAAACTGCAAGAATGAGGAAGTCAGGAGTCATCTGCCCAATATCCTTCCTTATGCTGATTCTATTTTGTTTTAGCAACCCACTTCCTCCCGTCACTTCATTTAAAAGGATGCTGCCATAGTCTAACCCTACTGAACACTCTAGCATTCTGTAGTACTACTGCAGTACTAAGCATGAGGCAGTCTTAGTGTACTACTGAATATTCTGCCACCCCAACTACTACTGCCTTAGCCTCCTAATGGGTGTGAGCCCCACGTCCATCCATGTCTTCTCTCTTCCAGCTCCTTCTAAAGCCTGAATTATTTGTGTGTTGAACAATACTCATTCTTCCTATCCATGAGCATGGAATGTTTTTCCATTTGTTTGTGTCATCTATGATTTCTTTGACCAGTGTTTTGTAGTTCTCCTTGCAGAGATCTTTCACCTCCCTGGTTAGCTGTATTCCCAGGTATTTTATTCTTTTTGCAGTAATTGTGAATGGATTCTATTCTTGATTTGGCTCTCAGCTTAGATGTTTTTGGTGTATAGGAATGCTACTGATTTTTATATATTGATTTTGTATCCTGGAACTTTGCTAAAGTTGTTTATCAGATTAAGAAGTGTTTGGGCAGAGACTGTGGTTTTCTAGGTATAGAATCATATCACCTGCAAACAGGGATAGTTTGACTTCCTTTCTTCCTATTTGGATGCCTTTTATTTCTCTCTTGCCTGATTGCTCTAGCTAGGACCTCCAGTACTATGTTGAACAGAAGTAGTGAGAGACGGCATCCATGTCTTTTGCCAGTTTTCAAGGGGAATACTTCCAGCTTTTGCCCATTCAATATGATGTTGACTGTGAGTTTGTCATACATCATTCTTATTATTTTGAAATATGTTTCTTCAATGCCTAGTTTGTCGAGGTTTTTTAGCATAAAGGGATGTTGAATTTTATCAAAAGCTCTATTGAGAGGATTATGTGTGTGGGGAGGGTTGTTCTATTTATGTGATGAATCATATTTAAGATTTGTGTATATTGGCCGGGCACTGTGGCTCATGCCTGTAATCCCAGCACTTTGGGAAGCCAAGGCTTGTGGATCATGAGGTCAGGAGATCGACACCATCCTGGCTAACACGGTGAAACCTCGTCTATACTAAAAAACACAAAAAAATTAGCCAGGCGTGGTGGTGGGCACCTGTAGTCCCAGCTGCTCGGGAGGCTCAGGCAGGAGAATGGCGTGAATCCAGGAGGCGGAGCTTGCAGTGAGCCAAGTTCACGCCACTACACTCCAGCCTGGGCAACAGAGCGAGACTCCTATATCGAATCAACCTTGCATCCCAGAAATAAAGCCTACCTGATGGTGGTGGATTAGCTTTCTGATGTGCTGCTGGATAGTTTGCTAGTATTTTGTTGAGGATTTTTGCATTTATGTTCAACAAGGATATTGTCCTGAAGTTTTCTGGTTTTGTTGTGTCTCTGCCATGTTTTTGCATCAAGATGATGCTGGTCTCATAGAATGAGCTGGGGAGGCATTCCTCCTCCTGAATATTTTTGGAACGTTTCAGTAGGTATAGTACCAGCTCTTCTTTATATATCAGATGGGATTCAGCTGTGAGTCTGTCTGGTACTGGGCTTTTTCTGGTCTGTAGGATTTTTATTACTGATTCAATTTTGGAGCTCATTATTGGTCTGTTCATGTATTCAATTTATTCTTGGTTTGATCTCAGGAGGGTGTATGTGTCCAGGAATTTCTCCATTTATTCTGGATTTTCTAGTTTGTGTGCATAGAGGTGTTCATAATATTCTCTGATGATTGTATTTCTGTGGGGTGAGTGGTAATATACCCTTTGTTGTTTCTAATTGTGTTTATCCGGATCATCTCTCTTTTCTTCTTTATTAGTCTAACTAGTCATCTGTCTTACTAATTTTTTCAAAAATTCTACTCCTCGATTTGCTGATCTTCTGAATGCTTTTTCGTGTCTCAATCTCCTTCAGCTCAGCTCTGATTTTGGTTATTTCTTGTTTCCTATGAGCTTTGGGGTTGATTTCCTCTTGGTTCTCTTAGTTCCTCTTGTTATGATGTTAGGTTGTTAATTTGAACTTTTTCTAGCTTTTTGAAGTGGGAGTTTAGTGCTATAAACTTCCCCCTTAACACTGCCTTAGCTGTGTCCCAGAGATTCTGCTATATTTACCCAAAAATTCCAGAACAGACTGCTTAATTTCCATGCATTGTACAGTTTTGAGTGGTTTTCTTAGTATTTATTCCTATTTTTATTCCACTGTGCTCTGATTTCGCTTTTCTGGATTTGCTAAGGATTGTTTTTTTTTTTTTTGAAATGGAGTCTTGCTCTGTCGCCCAGGCTGGAGTGCAGTGGCGCAATCTAGGCTCACTGCAAGCTCCGCCTCCCAGGTTCACACCATTCTCCTGCCTCAGCCTCCTGAGTAGCTGAGACTACAGGTGCCCGCCACCCCGCCCGGCTAATTTTTTTTGTATTTTTAGTAAAGACGGGGTTTCACTGCGTTAGCCAGGATGGTCTCGATCTCCTGACCTCATGATCCGCCAGCCTTGGCTTCCCAAAGTGCTGGGATTACAGGTGTGAGCCACCGTGCCCAGCCTGCTAAGGATTGCTGTATGTCTGATTGTATGATTGACTTTAGAGTATGTGCCATGAGGCAATGAAAACAATGTAGATTCTGTTGTTTTGGGGGTGGAGAGTTCTGTAGATGTCTGTCAGGTCCATTTGATCCACTGCTGAGTTCAGGTCCTGAATATCTCTGTTTGCCTCAATGATCTAATACTGTCGGCGGGATGTTAAAGTCTCCCCCTATTATTGTGTGGTTGTCTAAGTCTCTTCGTTGGTCTCTCAGAACACGCTTTATGAATCCGGGTGCTTCCATGTTAGGTGCATATATATTTAGGATAGTTAGGTCTTCATGCTCTTTTTTTAATTTTTTTTTTCTTTTTCTTTTTGATTCAGCAGTTGGGCTATTACACACTCCTTAGCAGATTCCGACTTCCGTGGCCACTGTCCTGCTATGGTCTTCATGTTGAATTGAACCCTTTACCATGATTTAATGCCCTTCTTTGCCTTTTTTGATCTTTGTTGGTATAAAGTCTGTTTTGTCTGAAATTTTAATAGCAGCTCCTGCATTTTTTTTTTTTTTTGGCTTTCCATTTGCTTGGTAGATTTTTCTCCATTTCTTTACTTTGAGCCTATGGATGTCATTGCATATGAGATGGGTTTCTTATAGGCAGCATAATGTTGAGTCTTGCTTTTTTTTTTTTTTTTTTTTTTGAGATGGAGTCTCACTCTGTCACCCAGGCTGGAGTGCAGTGGTATGATCTTGACTCACTGCAACTTCTGCCTCCCAGGTTCAAATGATTCTCCTGCCTCAGCCTCCCAAATAGCTGGGATTACAGGTGTGTACCACCACGCCCAGCTATTTTTTTTTTTTATTAGAGATGGGATTTCATCACATTGGCCAGGCTAATGTCGAACTCCTGACCTCAAATGATCCACCCACCTCAGCCTCCCAAAGTGCCAGGGTTACAGGCGTGAGCCACTGCACCTGGCCTCTTGCTTCTTTATCCAACTTGCCACTCTCTGCATTTTAATTAGGACAATTAGTCCATTTACATTCAAAGTTAGCATTTACATGTGCAGATTTTTTCCTGTCATCATGTTGTTAGCTGGTTTGGTTATTATGCAGACTTGTTTGTGTGGTTGTTTTATAGTGTCACTGGTTTATGTACGTAAGTGTGTTTTCTATTGGCTGGTGATGGTCTTTTCTTTCCATATTTAGCGTTCCTCTTAGGACCTCTTGTAAGGCAGGCCTGATGGTAATAAATTCCCTCAGCATTTGCTTGTCTGTAAAGGATCTTATTTCTCCTTCACTTATGAAACTTAGTTTGGCTGGGAATGAGATTCTTGGTTGGAAATTCTTTTCATAAGAACATTAAATATAGGCCCCCAATCTCTTCTGGATTGTAGAGTTTCTGCTGAAAGGTCTGCTGTTAGCTCGATGGCATTCCCTTTGTAGGTGACCTGCCCCTTCTTTTTTGCTGCCTTTTCACATTTTTTTTTTTTTTTTTGAGACTGAGTCTTGCTCTGTTGCCCAGGCTGCCAGGCTGGAGTGCAATGGCGTGATCTCGGCTCACTGCAAGCTCCGCCTCCCGGATTCACGCCATTCTCCTGCCTCAGCCTCCCCAGTAGCTGGGACTACAGGTGCCCACCACCACGCCCAGCTAATTTTTTATATTTTTTTAGTAGAGATGGGGTTTCACCATGTTAGCCAGGATGGTCTCAATCTCCTGACCTCGTGATCCGCCCGCCTTGGTCTCCCAAAGTGCTGGGATTACAGGCGTGAGCCACCGCGCCCGGCCGACATTTCTTTCTTTCATTTCTACCTTGAAGAATCTGATGATTTTGTGTCTTGGGGATGCTCTTCTTGTGTAGTATTTTGCAGGGGTTCTCTGTTTCCTGCATTTGATTCTTGGCCTCTCTAGTGACGTTGGGGAAGTTTTCATGAACAATACACTGAAATATGTTTTCCATGTTCCTTGCTTTCTCCCCATCTCTTTCGGGGATGCCAATGGGCTATTTGGTCTCTTTTCATGATCCCATATTTCTTAGAGGTTTTGTTCATTAATTTTTATTCTTTTTCTTCATTTTTGTCTGACTGAATTAGTTCAGAGAGCCAGTATTCATGCTCTGAGATTCTTTCCTTATTTTGCTTTATTTTGCCATTAATACTTGTGATCGCATTATGAAATCTCGTAGTGTGTTTTTCAGCTCCATCAGATCCGTTTGGTTCTTTCAAAATGACCATCTCATAGATTAGCCCCTCTGTCATTTTATTGTAATCTTTAGGTTCCTTGCATTGGGTTTCAACTTTCTCCTGAATCTTGATGACCTTAATTTCTATCCATATTCTGAATTCTATTTCTGTCATTTCAGCCAGGTAAAGAGCCCTTGCTGGGAAGCTTGTGTGGTAATTTGGAGGAAGGAAGACACTGTTGCTTTTTGAGTTGATGGAGTTCTTGCTCAGTTCTTTCTCATCCATGTGGGCTAATGTTCCTTTGAGTGTGCTGCAATTTGAATTTTTTTCTTTTTTCTTTTAACCGTGATGTAATTTGAGCACAGTCAGTAGACTTCTTTTCTGGATGGTTTCAGAGGGCTGGGGCTTCGCACAGGGTCTTTATTTATAGCTAAATTCTTGTCCTTGGTTTCACAGGGAGGTATATTAGCGAGCATTTTTGGTGTTGAAGTTTGGGCTGCAATCCGGTAAATGATGCTTCAGCACAACGGCCAGTAGGTCATTCCTCATGATTGCCGCTGTGCTCCCTCTCACGCTCTGAAAGTGCGGGCTCCTCTCCCACCCAAGTGCTGGCTGCAGATCTGGGCTCGGCACTCCCAGGCTGCACATCACAGCTCTGGGGTGAGCTCAGACTTTATGTTCCCTCCGTGGCTTGGGGGCAGCAGGGGAAGGGACCTTAGCAGCGGTTGTGGCAGACGGCCTTTCACTTGTCCCTTGGAACTCCACCCCAGAGAGATGTGGAGCCACTATCAGTGCGATGAGCCAAGAGTGAGGCGACTGCACTGTGGGTCCAAGCTAGGGGCCCTGCCTAGTGATGAGCAGGGGGGACAGGTGGGTCACAGGGGTGACAGACTGGCCTCTTCTCCTTAGGGCAGTTTGCCGGAGGTGTGGTTGAAGCACTCAGAGTCTTTGCTCCTTCCCCAGTCTGAGGGCAGCAAGGCCAGTACCACCGCAGTGGCAGCGGCAGAGTGACCTTCCGTTGCCTCTGGGAGCTCCGCCACAGAGAAACGCAGACTCACAGCTGCTGGGAACGCTCCGCCAGAGGGTGGGGCTGTTGTGCCGCGGAATCAAGCTGGGGCTTGTTGAAGAGCAGGGGGTTGAGGGCTCACAGGGAGAGGAGACTGAGCTCCTCTCCGTATGGCGACTGCGGTGTGCTGGAAGCATGAATGAAGGCCGGGCGCGGTGGACTCACGCCCGGAATCCCAGCACTTTGGGAGGCCGAGGCGGGCGGATCACGAGGTCGGGAGATCGAGACCATCCTGGCTAATCTGGTGAAACCCCGTCTCTACTGAAAACACAAAAAATGAGCCGGGCGTGGTGGCGGGCGCCTGTAGTCCCAGCTACTCGGGAGGAGGATGAGGCTGAGGCAGGAGAATGGTGTGAACCCGGGAGGCGCAGCTTGCAGTGAGCCGAGATCGGGCCACTGCACTGCAGCGTGGGCGACAGAGCGAGACTCCGTCTCAAATAAATAAATAAATAAATAAATAAATAAATAAATAAATAAATAAATAAATTGAAGCATGAATGAAGGCCCCAGGCTCCTTGCTTCTTCCCCAGATCACGGGCAGCAGAGGCAGAACCCTTGCCATGGCAGTGGCAGAGGGGCTGTCAGTTGCCTCTGGGAGCCACTCCCCAGGGAAACACGAGCCACCACCAGTGAGTGTGCTGAGGGCGGGGCAGCTGCTCTGCACTCCCGAGCTGGGGGCTCTGCCTGGTAAAGTGGGGGTGGGAGCTCACGGGGAAGAGAGACTGGACTCCTCTCTGTCTGATGGCTGTGGCATAATGACCGGGCCCCCACACATGAAAAAGAATTCTGGGAACTCAAAAAGCCAGTGTGTCCCCACCATGGACCCCTTGGATTGTGTTTCAAATTTCTCCTCAATTTCGAAGAGCGTCCTGGCCATCCAGATTCTGAATTCTATAACCCTCGTTTCATTCATCTCAATGTAGCTAAGAACCAGATTTCTGGGGAACTATCGAGTTGCCAGAGTTCTTGTGTTGATTCTTTTTTTTTTTTCTTTTTTTTTTCTTTTTTGTGGCAGAGTCTTACTCTGTCGCCCAGGCTGGAGTGCAGTGGCACGATCTCAGCTCACTGCTGCAACCTTCACCTCCCGGGTTCAAGCGATTCTCCTGTCTCAGCCTCCTGAGTAGCTGGGATTACAGGTGTGTGCCACCACGCCCGGCTAATTTTTGTATGTTTAGTAGAGCCCGGGTTTTGTCACGTTGGTCAGGCTGGTCTCAAACTCTTGACCTCCGGTGATCTGCCCACTTCAGCCTCCCAAAGTGCTGGGATTACAGGTGTGAGCCACCGCGCCCGGCCTTGGTGTTGATTCTTTCTCTTGTGTGAGGGCTGGTGTTCCTTTAACTGTGATGTCGGTTGAGTACAGTCGCTTGGCTTCATTTCTGGGTGTTTTCAGATGCCAGGACTCTGCACAGGATCTTTATTTGTGGCTGAATTTTTCCCTTCATTGTATACTGGCAAAATTTTTCAGTGTTGTATTTTGAAGTGTGATCCAGTAGGTGGCACTTAAAAGGGTTGGCCAGCATACAGGATCTTAGCCACAAGGCTCTTTTGTAGTTTTGTTTCGTTTTTTGTTTCGTTTTTTGACACAGGGTCTTGTTCTGTCGCCCAGGCTGGAGCACAGTGGCACAATCTCGGCTCACTGCAGCCTCTACCTATCAGGCTAAGTGATCCTCCTGCCTCAGCCTCCTGAGTAGCTGGGACTACAAGCACGCAGCACCATAAAGAGAAAATTTTTGTAATTTTTTTTTTTTTTTTGTAGAGATGGGGTTTCACCATGTTTACCAGGCTGGTCTCAAACTCCTGGGCTCAAGCAATCTGCCTGCCTTGGCCCCCTAACTCTTGTATTTTGACAAAGTCGGCAGTAGTGCTCTGTGGTTGTGAGGAGGGGTGACTCCCTCGCCTGGTCCATTCTTGGGCCTTGGAGGAGCCTCCTACAGTCACTGGCTCTGCACCCACTGTTTCCTTTGTTAGGATTGTTCTGCCCACGGGGCTCCCTCAGGCAGGGCATGGTGGGCAGACAGGCTGTATCCTTCCCCGGCCAGCCCTATGGAGGGAGGACCACCCCGCACCTCTGCAGGCTGATGAAATCAGGTGTTTCACCCCTCTGAACGTTCTGAGAATGAGGGCTCCTCACGGCTTGGTCGCCACCTAACGTGGTGAGTCCTTCTCAGCAAGGGTGATTGGAGCCACATGATCTGCCATCTCAGTGCTTCCCAGGGGAACACAGAGCTACTGGGCATGGTGGCTCACACGTGTAATCCCAGTACTTTAGGAGGCCGAGATGGGCAGATTGCGAAGTCAGGAGACTGAGACCATCCTGGATAACATGGTGAAACCCCGTCTCTACTAAAAATACAAAAAAAAATTAGCCAGGCGTGGTGGCGGGCGCCTGTAGTCCCAGCTACTCGGGAGGCTGAGGCAGAAGAATGGTGTGAACCCGGGAGGCGGAGCTTGCAGTGAGCCAAGATCACACCACTGCACTCCAGCCTGGGCAACAGAGTGAGACTTCATCTCAACAAAAAAAGAAAAGAAAAGAAAAACACAGAGCTGCACACCCCACAGAGTTCAGGCAGAAGGGGGTCTGCAGCGCTGGAAGACCCAGCAAGCCTGGCCCGTCTGGCTGCAAGTGGCAGGGGTGGGTGGAGTCACCCACTTCACCATCTGGGTGCTTTCCAGGGAAGCATGCAGCCACGACCCCGGGCAGAGTTCAGGCAGAAGCTGGGCCACTATGCTGGAAACTGGCCTTGAGCCTTGTGGAGTAACGGCAGGTGGAGCCATCTCACTGCTCCCACGCACCATGCCCGTGGCCTCTGCGGGGGCTGTGGTAACGGCACCCGACTGCTCTGGGGTCAATGCCTGCGGAGGTCCCCCTGGCTTCAGTGTTGCCTCTGCAAAAACCCCAGTTGCAGCCAGGTGCGGTGGCTCACGCTTGTAATCCCAGCACTTTGGGAGGCCGAGGCAGGTGGATCACTTGAAGTCAGGAGTTCAAGACCAGCCTGGCCAACATGGTGAAACCCCGTTTCTACTAAAAATACAAAAATTATCCAGGCATGGTGGTGGGCACCTGTAATCCCAGCTACTCGGAAGGCTGAGGCAGCAGAATTGCTTGAACCCGGGAGGCGGAGGAGCTGAGATTGCACCACTGCACTGCAGCCTGGGCGACAAAACAAGACTCTGTCTCGAAAAATAATAACAATAAAAAATAAAGATGGCAACCATAGACACTGGAGACTACTAGATGGGGGGGAAGAAAGGGGGTTGAAAAACTGCCTATTGGGTACTATGCTCAGTACCTGGGTGACAGGATCAATCGTACTCCAAACCTCAGCATCACAAATTATTTAAATTTTTCTCTTTTTTTAATTTTTTTGTTGTTGTTGTTGAGACGAAGTCTCACTCTGTTGCCCAGGCTGGAGTGCAGTGGTGTGATCTCGGCTCACTGCAAGCTCTGCCTCCCAGGTTCACGCCATTCTCCTGCCCCAATCTCCCGAGTAGCTGGGACTACACGCGCCCGCCACCACGTCCTGCTAATTTTTTGTATTTTCAGTAGACACGGGGTTTCACCGTGTTAGCCAGGATGGTCTTGATATCGTCACCTTGTGATCCACCCGCCTCGGCCTCCCAAAGTGCTGGGAATACAGGCGTGAGCTACCGCACCCGGCCTAAATTTTTTTTTAAATAAAGAATGGTAGGTTCTTCACACCCTAATGTATTTTTACTTCTCCCACAGAGAAGGAAAGGAATGGCTTCCCCATGGCAAGCCACCTCAGTCTGGGCTTTCTTTTCTTCCAGGGGACTTTCCCATGCCTTTCATATCTGCCAAATCGAGTCCTGTGATTCCCTTGGATGGATCTGTGAAAATCCAGTGCCAGGCCATTCGTGAAGCTTACCTGACCCAGCTGATGATCATAAAAAACTCCACGTACCGAGAGATAGGCAGAAGACTGAAGTTTTGGAATGAGACTGATCCTGAGTTCGTCATTGACCACATGGACGCAAACAAGGCAGGGCGCTATCAGTGCCAATATAGGATAGGGCACTACAGGTTCCGGTACAGTGACACCCTGGAGCTGGTAGTGACAGGTAAGGAAACATCCAGGGTCCACAGCCCTGGTGTGATTTTTTTCTTATTTTTAATAGAGTATTTTTCAAGAAGTTTTAGATTTACAAACAAAAAAAAATTGATGATTGCTTCAGAGAGTTCTCAGCCATCTGGCACCCCACTTCCCCCAGAGTTAACATCTTACATTAGTATGGCACATTTCTTACCATTAATGAACAAATATCGACACATTCCCAGCTACAGTCTACAGTTTATTTACATTTTCTTAGTTTTTACCTGATAGTCTTTCTCTGTTCCAGGATCCCATTCAAGATTTCACATTGCGGCTGGGAGTGGTGGCTCACGCCTGTAATCCCAACACTTAGGGAAGCCGAGGCGGGTGGATCACCCAAGGTCAGGAGTTCGAGACCAGCCTGGCCAACATGGTGAATTCCCCGTCTCTACTGAAAATGCAACAATCGCTGGGCGCGGTGGCTCACGCCTGTAATCCCAACACTTTGGGTGGCTGAGGTGGGTGGATCACCTGAGGTCAGGAGTTCGAGACCAGCCTGGCCAACACAGTGAAACCTCGTCTCTACTAAAAATGGAAAAAATTGGCCAGGCCTGGTGGCACACGCCTGTAATCCCAGCTACTTGGGAGGCTGAGGCAGGAGAATCGCTTGAACCCAGGAGGCAGAGGTTGCAGTGAGCCAAGATCACACCACTGCACTCCAGGCTGGGCGACAGGGCGAGACTCCATCTCACACACACACACACAAAAAGATTTCACATTGCATTCAGGTGTCATGTATCTTTATTTTTTTTTTTTTTTTTTTTTTTGAGATGGAGTCCCGCTGTGTTGCCCAGGCTGGAGTGCAGTGGCACAATCTCGGCTCACTGCAAGCTCCAACCTCCCGGGTTCACGCCATTCTCCTGCCTCAGCCTCCCGAGTAGCTGGGACTACAGGCGCCCGCCACCACGCCTGGCTAATTTTTTGTATTTTTAGTAGAGATAGGGTTTCACTGTGTTAGCCAGGATGGTCTCAATCTTCTGACCTCGTGATCCGCCCGCCTGGCCTCCCAAAGTGCTGGGATTACTGGCGTGAGCCACCACGCCCGGCCCCCGAAAATGCTGGGATTACAGGCATGAGCCACCGCACCTGGCCTCCCAAAGTGCTGGGATTCCAGGCGTGAGCCACCGTGCCCGGCAGGTGTCATGTATCTTTAGGTTTGTCTTGGCTGTCACAGCTTCTCAGATGTTGCTGGTTTTCCATGACCTTGTCAGTTTTGAGGGTAGTGGTCCATTATTTTCAAGGGTACTCCCACTACTGGAAATTGTCCGATGTTTTGCTCATGACTAGACTGAGTTATGGGTCATTGCAGGCAAGACCACAGAAGCAAAGTGCCATTTCATCTCCTCATAGCAAAGGTTTAAACTGTCCATGGGAACATGACTGTGGATGTTGAGCTGGCTGTTGTTGAAAGCCTGGCTGAAGTAGTAACTGTGGCCAGACACCGTGGCTCGTGCCTGTAATCCCAGCACTTTGGGAGGCTGGGCGCCGTGGCTCACGCCTGTAATCCCAGCACTTTGAGAAGCCGAGATGGGCAGATCACTTAAGCCCAGGAGACCAGCCTGGGCAACATAGTAAGACCCCATCTGTACAAAAAATCAAAAAATTAGCTGGGCATGGTGGCACCCACCTGTAGTCTCAGTTACTTGAGAGGCTGAGATGGTAGGATCACCTGAGCCTGGGAGGTCGAGGCTGCAGTGAGCCGTGATTATGCCACTGCCCTCAGCCTGGGCGACAGAGTGAGACCCTCTCTAAAATAAATAAATTCTAAAAAAGAAAAAAGAGGCTGGGCACTGTGGTTCACGCCTGTAATCCCAGCACTTTGGGAGGCTGAGGCAGGTGGATCACCTGAGGTCAGGGATTCAAGACCAGCCTGACCAACATGGAGAAACCTCATCTTTACTAAAAATACAAAAATTAGCTGGGCGTGGTGGCGGGTGCCTGTAATCCCAGCTACTCGGGAGGCTGAGGCAGGAGACTCACTTGAACCTCGGAGGTGGAGGTTGCAGTGAGCTGAGATCGTGCCACTGCACTGCAGCCTCAGTGACAGAGTGAGACTCCATCTCAAAAAACAATAATAGGCTGGGCACAGTTGCTCATGCCTGTAATCCCAGCACTTTGGGAGGCCAAGGTGGGCAAATCACCTGAGGTCAGGAGTTCGAGACCAGCCTGACCAACATGGAGAGACCCCGTCTCTACTAAAAATACAAAAATTAGCTGGGCGTGGTGGTACGCACCTGTAATCCCAGTTTCTCGGGAGGCTGAGGCAGGAGAATTGCTTGAACCCGGGAGACGGAGGTTGCAGTGAGCTGAGATCACGCCACTGCACTCCAGCTTGGGCAATAAGAGCGAAACTCCATCTCAAAAAAATATATAATAATAACAATAATAAGAAGAAGAAAAGAATAAAGGAGAAAAGGTCTTTCTAATAGCTCACTCTTTTCTCTCTTAGGCTTGTATGGCAAACCCTTCCTCTCTGCAGATCGGGGTCTGGTGTTGATGCCAGGAGAGAATATTTCCCTCACGTGCAGCTCAGCACACATCCCATTTGATAGATTTTCACTGGCCAAGGAGGGAGAACTTTCTCTGCCACAGCACCAAAGTGGGGAACACCCGGCCAACTTCTCTTTGGGTCCTGTGGACCTCAATGTCTCAGGGATCTACAGGTGCTACGGTTGGTACAACAGGAGCCCCTACCTGTGGTCCTTCCCCAGTAATGCCTTGGAGCTTGTGGTCACAGGTAGGTACCGCCCAGTCCAGCCCTGTGTCTGGGTTGGCTGTCCAGGGCCTTGCCACCGGGCAGGAATATGAAGACGTGCACTGAGAGTGAAGTGAAGAGAGGCAAAGGCTCTCACTCCAGGACAGTGGAGAGAGAAAGGCTTCCCCACCACACTTTCCGCTTTCACTTCCTCGCTAGAGTTCTCCAGACAGGGTTCATTGAAAACTTAGTCTGTGGAGAACAGAAGGGCTAACTCAGTTTGTTTCATTTTATTTATTTCATTTTATTTTCCGGGATAGAGTCTTGCTCTTTCGCCAAGGCTGGAGTGCAGTGGCACGATCTCGACTCACTGCAACCTTCGCCTCCCAGGTTCAAGCAATTCTCCTGCCTCAGCCTCCTGAGTAGCTGGGACCACACAGACAGGGTTTCACCATGTTGGCCAGGCTGGTCTCGAACTCCCGACCTCAGGTGATCCACCTGCCTCGGCCTCCCAAAGTGCTGGGATTACAGGCGTGAGCCACCGCGCCTGGCCAGGCTGCACACATTCTTATTAGGATTCCACCTTGTTCTGGTGTTGTAGAGATGTGATTAGGTATTTAGTGAATTCACCAAGTGAGGAGAGAATGAAAAGAAAACACAACCTGCCTGGCCGGGCGTGGTGGCGTGAGCCTGTCGTCCCAGCTACTCAGGAGGCTGAGGCAGGAGAATCACTTGAACCCAGGAGGCAGCTGTTGCAGTGAGCCAAGATCACGCCATTGCACTCCAGCCTGGGTGACAGAACGAGACTCCACCTCAAGAAAAAAAAAAAAAACATGGTTGGGCACGATGGCTCACGCCTGTAATCTGAGCACATTGGGAGGCTGAGGCAGGTGGATCACCTGAGGTCGGGAGTTCGAGACCAGCCTGGCCAACATAGTGAAACCCCATCTCCACTAAAAATACAAAAATTAACCAGGCGTGGTGGTGGTGGGCGCCTGTAATCCCAGCTACTTGGGAGGCTGAGGCAGGAGAATCACTTGACCAGGGAGGCGGAGGTTGCAGTGAGCCGAGATCACGCCACTGCACTCCAGCCTGGGCAACAGAGTGAGACTCCATCTCAAAAAAAAAAAAAAAAAAAAACACACACAACCTGCCCATAATCACCTCCTTCCCAGTTTATAGCACTTCCCTGGGAAGCACAGTTCCTTGCCCGTGAACACAGTCTTGCTGACTGATCAGTGTGGTGCTGGCGAAGCATGAGCTCATTGAGGGGATGCTTGAGGGAGTCCCATTTTGGCAAGCGAAAAGGAAAATGAGCTCCCGTTTCAGGGCTCTGGGGTTGGGATGGAATGGAACACAACCACCAACCATTCATCTCCTTGAATTGTGTCTCCAGACTCCATCCACCAAGATTACACGACGCAGAACTTGATCCGCATGGCCGTGGCAGGACTGGTCCTCGTGGCTCTCTTGGCCATACTGGTTGAAAATTGGCACAGCCATACGGCACTGAACAAGGAAGCCTCGGCAGATGTGGCTGAACCGAGCTGGAGCCAACAGATGTGTCAGCCAGGATTGACCTTTGCACGAACACCAAGTGTCTGCAAGTAAACACCTGGAGGTGAAGGCAGAGAGGAGCCAGGACTGTGGAGTCCGACAAAGCTACTTGAAGGACACAAGAGAGAAAAGCTCACTAAGAAGCTTGAATCTACTTTTTTTTTTTTTTGAGACAGAGTCTGGCTCTGTCACCCAGGCTGGAGTGCAGTGGAGCAATCTCGGCTCATTGAACCTCTTGGGTTCAAGTGATTCTTGTGCCTCAGCCTCCCAAGTAGCTGGAATTACAGGCACATACCACTGCACCCAGCTAATTTTTGTATTTTTAGTAGAGATGGGGTTTCACTGTGTTGGCCAGGCTGGTCTCGAACTCCTGACCTCAGGTGATCCACCCACCTTGGCCTCCCAAAGTGCTGAGATTATAGGCATGAGCCACCACGCCTGGCCAGATGCATGTTCAAACCAATCAAATGGTGTTTTCTTATGCAGGACTGATCGATTTGCACCCACCTTTCTGCACATAAGTTATGGTTTTCCATCTTATCTGTCTTCTGATTTTTTATATCCTGTTTAATTTCTTCCTTCATTGTTCTTCTCTTTTTTTATTTATTTTATTTATTTTTATTTTTATTTTTATTTGAGACAGAGTCTCACTCTGTTGCCCAGGCTGGAGTGCAGTGGCACGATCTCGGCTCACTGCAACCTCTGCCTCCTGGGTTCAAGTGATTCTCCTGCCTCGGCCTCCCAAGTAGCTGGGATTGCAGGCTCCCACCATCACGCCCAGCTACTTTTACAGTATTTTTAGTAGAGACGGGGTTTCATCACATTGGCCAAGCTGGTCTCAAACTTCTGACCTCGTGATCTGCCCGCCTCGGCCTCCCAAAGTGCTGGGATTACAGATGTGAGCCACTGCGCCCAGCCTTCTTTTTATATTTTTAAATGTGTCTTCCCCAAATATAAATGGTTGGTAAGCATGCCAAATATATTCAATAACCCCCCTCCTTTATTTTTTTTTGTTGAAGTGAGGCTCTCCCTATGTTGCCTAAGCTGGTCTTGAACTCCTGGTCTCAAGCAATCCTCCTACCTCAGCCTCCTGCTGTGTTCATCTACAAATTGATAAGAGTGAAAGTCATAATCCTACAGGAGGATTACCCTATTTATTTCACAAACCCTATTTCTACCGGATTTTCATACAAGGAATACAGGCATGTGTTTCACCTCATTAATTTATTTTTTCACTTAGTTTTGATGATATTCACATATATTATCAAGTGTGCAAACATTAAATTCTTGTGTACAAAACTCAAATGGTCTTCCAAATAATTCCCCATTCTTTTTTCTTATAAACTTTCACAGCTTTACCCTTGACAGACTTTACTCAAGGAAATCTAAGTTGGTCATATGTGGCTCTTTCACTGATTGCTATTTACTTCATTGTCCAGTAGCTTATGTATGAAAATATAATTATAAAATGTAAGGGTCCTACTTCCAGTGAAACTGAAGGGACTTAGGCCCACTTTTATCCTTTACTGAGAGCTTATCTCTACTTGATAAAATTTCTACTGTATTCTTGGCTTAACTCAGGTCCTGTGATTAAAAAAAAAATGCAAAGTATTTCTAACTTTCTTTATTGACTGCTTTTCACACTTTATACAAGTTCTGGCCCATATCTTCAGTTTGTTCTGATTTTTTTCACCAGGTGTGGTGGCAGGTGCCTGTAGTCCCAGCTACTCCAGGGGCTGAGGCAGGAGAATGGCGTGAACCTGGGAGGCGGGGCTTGCAATGAGCTGAGATCACGCCACTACACTCCAGCCTGGGCCACAGAGCGAGACTCCGTCTCAAAAGTAAACAAACAAATAAATAATAAATAAATAAATAAAGGGAAAGTGCCACAATTTTGGATGAAGGGGGTTGAGGGACTTTACGTCAGGTCCAGGACTTGGATTACAGAGACACAATGGGGCTAGATTCCCAGAGATGGATAAGATTAAACTCATATAAGTCGTTTTG
Source organism: Homo sapiens (assembly GCF_000001405.40). NCBI lineage: Eukaryota > Metazoa > Chordata > Mammalia > Primates > Hominidae > Homo > Homo sapiens. Next base: position 169,184 of record NT_187677.1, read on the forward strand.
CTGACAGAAGGACCTTGTTTGGAAAAAGCGTTTTCAGAATAATAAAGTTCCTGAGCTCTTCAGAAAAGTATTTTATTGTCCTGTAACCACAGTAACAAGTAGCCACCAAAACTGATTTTTAACCCATCATCAATGACAACTCATCTCTGTGAAGATGCTCTTTTTTTTTTTTTTTTTTTTTGAGACGGGGTCTTGCTCTGTCACCCAGGCTGGGGAGCAGTGACGTGACCTCGGCTCCCTGCAACCTCTCTTTCCCGGGTTCAGCAATTCTCCTGCCTCAGCCTCCCCAGTAGCTGGGATTATAGGCACCTGCCACCACACGCAGATAATTTTTGTATTTTTAGTACAGACGGGTTTCGCCATGTTGGCCAAGCTGGTCACAAACTTCTGACCTCAGGGTGATCTGCCTGCCTCAGCCTCTCAAAGTGCTGGGATTACAGGAGTGAGCCACAAAGCCCGGCCACTCCATACGTTTTATATTGTTATGTTACCATCAGTCAGGCAGCTCCTTGCTTCTAAAAGTCATCCAATCAGACTCATTTCAGTAAACACCCAAGCATGAGTGACAACCAATCAAAGTAATATCTTCCCAATGACCACACTTTTCCAGATGACGTCAAGCCACAGAAGGCCCTGAAAATCCAACAATCTCTGAAGTATACATTTCCCAGGCTGAGCGCAGTGGCTCACACCTGAAATCCCAGCACTTTGGGAGGCTAAGGCAGGCAGATCACGAGGCCAGGAGTTCGAGACCAGCCTGGCCAACATGGCAAAACCCCGTCTCTACTAAAAATACAAAAATTAGCCAGGTGTGGTGGCACGCACCTGCATTACCAGCTACTGAGGAGGCTGAGGCAGGAGAATGGCTTGAACCCAGGAGGCGGAGGTTGCAGTGAGCCAAGATCGTACCACCGCACTCCAGCCTTGGTGACAGAGCAAGACTCCATCTCAACAACAACAACAAAAATGGTTGAAATAAAACTTCTATGTGTTGAACGATTCCTCTTTTAGGCATAGAGTTTCAGTTTTACAAGATGAAAATATTCTGGAGATCTGTTTCAAAACACCGTGAATACATTTAACACTGCTATACTGTACACTTACAATGGCTAAGATGGTAAATTGTATGTTATGTTTTTACTACAATTTTTTTTTTTTTTTTTCTGAGACAGAGTCTCACTCTTGTTGCCCAGGCTGGAGTGCAATGGTGCGGTCTCGGCTCACCGCAACCTCCGCCTCCTGGGCTCAAGCCATTCTCCTGCCTCAGCCTCCAGAGCAGCTGGGATTACAGGCATGCGCCACCACGCCTGGCTAATTTTATATTTTTAGAAGAGACGGGGTTTCTCCATGTTGGTCAGGCTGGTCTCGAACTCTGGACCTCAGGTGATCCACCCGCCTTGGCCTCCCAAAGTGCTGGGATCACAGGCGTGAGCCACCACGCCTGGCCTACAATTTTTTTTTAACTTTTTTTTCTGAGATGGAGTCTCGCTCTTGTCACCCAAGTTGGAGTGCAGTAGTGTGATCTCGGCTCACTGCAACCTCTGCCTCCCTGGTTCAAGGGATTCTCCTGCCTCAACCTCCCAAGTGTGGGAGATCAGTCAGAGTAGCAGAAGAAATTATAGGAATAGGAAGCAGCAAACCTTCTTGGAAGGCCAGGGAGGTTGGCATAGCTTCAGATAGTTTGGCTGAAAGCAGCCAGATTCTCTTTTCAGGAGCCAAACAGCTTAGGGCGCAGATACAAAGGAATGCGGAGTATTTTATCTAAATAGCTTGCTTAGTCATATGGTCCTAAAATCAACCTTTGATCATTCTCGGGCAAGATGGCCCTCTCCAGGGAGGTGGCGGGGGGCGGTGACCAGGTTAATTACCCACAGGTGTGTTGACTCAAAGCCTTTGTTAATTAAATCTGTGCTAAATAAATGCAAGCGTTGCCAGCTTAGAGGGGCTGCACTCTCTTTGGCTCCTAGTGCCGGCAGCCCCCTGGCCTGCTCTTTCACTGAATATTGGTGTCTGAGGACGTGTCTCATCTGTCGTACAGCTGGGATCTGCAGAACAGATCCCCCCCGCACCCAAGAAGCTGGGATTACAGGCACCCGCCGCCATGCCCAGCTCATTTTTGTATTTTTAGTAGAGACAGGGTTTCACCATGTTGGTCAGGCCGGTCTCGAACTCCCGGCCTCAGGTGATCTGCCCGCCTCAGCCTCCCAAAAGTGCTTGGATTACAGGCATGAGCCACTGCGCCTGGCCTTAGAAAACTTCTTTTTCTTTTTTTTTTTTTTTTTTTTTTGAGACAGAGTTTCACTCTGTCGCTACGCTGGTGTGATCTGGGCTCACTGCAATCTCCGCCTCCCAGGTTCAAGTGATTCCCCTGCCTCAGCCTCCCGAGTAGCTGGAACTACAGGTGCGCACCGCCACGCCCGGCTAATTTCTTGTATTTTCGTGGAGACGGGGTTTCACCATGTTGGCTAGGCTGGTCTGTTTCATGCGCGTCCGTGTGAAGAGACCACCAAACAGGCTCTGTGTGAGCAACAAGGCTGTTTATTTCACCTGGGTGCAGGCAGGCTGAGTCCGACAAGAGAGTCAGCGAAGGGGGATAGGGGTGGGGCCGTTTTATAGGATTTGGGTAGGTAAAGGAAAATTACAGTCAAAGGGGGGTTGTTCTTTGGTGGGCAGGAGTGGGGGGTCACAAGGTGCTCAGTAGGGGAGCTTTTGAGTCAGGATGAACCAGAAGAAGGAATTTCACAAGATAATGTCATCAGTTAAGGCAGGAACAGGCCATTTTCATTTCTTTCGTGGTGGAATGTCATCAGTTAAGGCAGGAACCGGCCATCTGGATGTGTACGTGCAGGTCACAGGGGATATGATGGCTTAGCTTGGGCTCAGAGGCCTGACATTCCTGTCTTCTTATATTAATAAGAAAAATAAAACGAAATAGTGGTAAAGTGTTGGGATGGCGAAAATTTTGGGGGGTGGTATGGAGAGAGAATGGGCGATGTTTCTCAGGGCTGCTTCGAGCGGGATTAGGGGCGGCGTGGGAACCTAGAGTGGGAGAGATTAAGCTGAAGGAAGATTTTGTGGTAAGGGGTGATATTGTGGGATTGTTAGAAGAAACATTTTTCATTTAGAATTACTGGTGATGGCCTGGATGCAGTTTTGTATGAATTGAAAAACTAAATGGAATAAGGAAAGGAGAAAAACAGGTATTAAAGGTCTAAGAATTGGGAGGACCTAGGACATCTAATTAGAGAGTGCCTAAGGAGGTTCAGCATAGCCTTGCCAGCAAAGATTATTTATTTACTTCAAGAGTTAAGAGTGGTGGTTTGGGGATAGCACCAGGAGATATCAGCTGTGATGGCTTGGAAAAACAGTGTAAACCAGCAGTGTAAACAAGAGCAGGGCATGTGTGAGTAGTTGAGAATGGTGAATAGGAGTATGACTAGACAGAAGATAGTAGGGATGACAAGTTTTTGGGGGCACATTCCAAGTTGGTCTGGTGTCTGGAATGAGACTGGGGCTTAATAAAAAGGAGCGTCTATACAGGAGCTCAAATGGGCTGTACCCTTTAGCATTCTGAGGACAGGCCTGAATTCTGAGAAAAGAAAGTGGTAAAAGTATTGTCCAGTCTTTTTTAAGTTGGTGGCTGAGCTTGGTGAGGTGTGTTTTTAAAAGACTATTAGTCTGTTCTACTTTTCCTGAAGACTGAGGACTGTAAGGGATATAAAGGTTTCACTGAATACCAAGAGCCTGAAAAACTGCTTGGCTGATTTGACTAATAAAGGCCGGTCTGCTATCAGACTGTATAGAGGTGGGAAGGCCAAACTGTGGAATTATGTCTGACAGAAGGGAAGAAATGACCTCGGTGGCCTTCTCAGACCCTGTGGGAAAGGCCTCTACCCATCCAGTGAAAGTGTCTACCCAGACCAAGAGGTATTTTAGTTTCCTGACTCAGGGCATGTGAGTAAAGTCAATTTGCCAGTCCTAGGCGGGGGCAAATCCCCGAGCCTGATGTGTAGGGAAGGGAGGGGACCTGAGCAATCCCTGAGGGGTAGTAGAATAGCAGATGGAACACTGAGAAGTGGTTTCCTTGAGGATAGATTTCCAGGATGGAAAGGAAATGAGAGGTTCTAAGAGATGGGCTAGCAGCTTGTAACCTACATGGAAGAGGCTATGAAATATCGACCGAATAGAATGGGCCTGTGAGGCTGGAAGGAGGTATTTTCCTTGGTCTAAGAACCATTTGCCTTGTGTGGGAAGAGATTGATGGGTGGAAGTTTCAGTGGGGGAGTAGGTGGGAGTGACTGATGAGAAGGAGAAAAACTGGCTGTGGGGGACAGAAATTGGCATGCTAGCTGCTTGTCTAGCTACCTTATCAGCATAAGCATAGATGTGAGAGACAGAAGTTGGAAAGCTAGCTGCTTGTCTAGCCACCTTGTCAGCATAGGCATTGTCTAGAGCAATGGGATCTGATGACTTTTGATGGCCTTTGCAGTGAATGACTCCAGCTTCCTCTGGGAGTAAAGCGGCCTTGAGCAGAGTTTTTATTAAGGAGGCATTAAAGATGGAGGACCCTTGTGTAGTGAGGAAACCTCTTTCAGCCCATATGACCGCATGGTGGGGCAGAATATGAAAGGCATATTTAGAGTCAGTATAAATATTGATGCATAGTCCTTTTGCATCAGTGAGGGCTTGAGTTAAGGCAACTAATTCGGCTTGCTGAGAGGTAGTGGAGGGGGCAGAGCGGTAGCCTCAATGATAGATGTGGAAGATACTATAGCATAGCCTGCCTTTGCTGGTGAGTGGCGATTAGGCCTGGTGGAACTGCCATCAATAAACTAAATGTGATTAGGGTGAGGAATAGGAAAGAAGGAAATGTGGGGAAATGGGGTGAATGTCAGGTGGATCAGAGAGATACAGTCATGGGGGTCAGGTGTGGTATCCGGAATAATGTGGGAGGCCGGATTGAAGTATGGGCCAGTAACAATGGTAATTGTGGGAGACTCAACAAAGAGTGAGTACAGCTGAAGGAGCCGGGGAGCAGAAAGTATATGCGTCAGGTGTGAGGAAGAAAATAGATTTTTGGAAGTTATGAGAACTGTAGAGAGTGAGTTGAGCATAGTTTGTGATTTTGAGGGCCTCTAAAACTATTAAAGCAGCGGCAGCCGCTGCTCACAGACGTGAGGGCTAGGCTAAAACAGTAAGATCAAGTTGTTTGGACAGAAAGGCTACAGGGTGCGGTCCTGGCTCTTGTGTAAGAGTTCTGACCACGCTAACCATGCCTAGGAAGGAAAGGAGTTGTTGTTTTGTAGAAGGTGCTGGGGTTTGAGAGATCACTAGGACACGATTGGCAGGGAGAGCACGTGTGTTTTTATGAGAATTATGCCGAGATAGGTAACAGAGGAGGAAGAAATTTGGGCTTGACTGAAGTAATGGGGGCTGTCTGTGAAGCCTTGCAGCAGTACAGCCTAGGTAATTTGCTGAGCTTGATCGGTGTCAGGGTCAGTCCAAGTGAAAGCGAAGAGAGGCTGGGATGAAGGGTGCAAAGGAACAGTAAAGAAAGCATGTTTGAGATCCAGAACAGAATAATGGGTTGTAGAGGCAGGTATTGAGGATAGGAGAGTATATGGGTTTGGCACTACGGGGTGGATAGGCAAAACAATTTGGTTGATAAGGTGCAGATCCTGAACTAATGTGTAAGCCTTGTCTGGTTTTAGGACAGGTAAAATGGGAGAATTGTAAGGGGAGTTTATAGGCTTTAAAAGGCCATGCTGTAGCAGGCTTTAATCCTTTTAAAGCATGCTGTGGGATGGGATATTGGCATTGAGCGGGGTAAGGTTGATTAGGTTTTAATGAGATGGTAAGGGGTGCATGATTGGTCACCAAGGAGGGAGTAGAGGTATCCTATACTTGTGGGTTAAGGTGGGGGGATACAAGAGGAGGACACAAAGGAGGCTTTGGATTGGGAAGAAGGGCAGCAATGAGATATAGCTGTAGTCCAGGAATAGTCAGGGAAGCAGATAATTTAGTTAAAGTGTCTCAGCCTAATAAGGGAACTGGGCAGGTGGGGATAACTAAAAAGGAGTGCTTGAAAGAGTATTGTCTAAGTTGGCACCAGAGTTGGGGAGTTTTAAGAGGTTTAGAAGCCTAGCTGTCAATACCTACAACAGTTATGGAGGCAAGAGAAACAGGCCCTTGAAAAGAAGGTAATGTGGAGTGGGTAGCCTCCATATTGATTAAGAAGGGGACGGGCTTACCTTCCACTGTGAGAGTTACCTAGACTGTCTGTGATGGTCCTGTAGGCTTCCGAGGCGATCGGGATCGGGCAGTGTCAGTCTTCAGCTGCTAAGCCGAGAAGATCTGGGAAGGAGTCAGAGAGCCTTGGGCCAGAGTTCTAGCTGCTCTGGGAGTGGCTGCCAGGTGAGTTGAACAGTCCGATTTTCAGTGGGGTCCCGCACAGATGGGATGCGGCTTAGGAGGAATCCCAGGCTGTGGACATTCCTTGGCCCAGTGGCCAGATTTCCAGTACTTGTAGCAAGCTCCTGGGGGAAGAGGTTCTGGAGGAACCCCTGGCAGCTGCGGTTCAGGCGTTTGGAGTTCTCGTGTGCTGGAGATGTGGCTGGGGTTTGTCTCATCTGGATACTGGAGTGGAGGCAAGGAATTGCAACTCAGAAATATGTTGCTATTTGGCTGCCTCTACTCTATTACTGTACACCTTGAAGGCGAGGTTAATTAAGTCTTGTTGTGGGGTTTGAGGGACAGAATTTAATTTTTGGAGCTTTATTTAATGTTGGGAGCAGATTTGGTAATAAAATGTATATTGAGAATAAGACGGCCTTTTGACTTAGGGTCTAGGGCTGTAAAGCGTCTCAGGGTTGCTGCCAAATGAGCCATGAACTGGGCTGTGTTTTTAAATTTGATGAAAAAGAGCCTAAACACTATCTGATTTGGGAGAGGTCAGATAAAGAAAAAGGAGCATTAACCTTGACTATGCCTTTAGCTTCAGCCACCTTTTTAAGAGGAAATTGCTGGGCAGTTGGGGGAGGGCTAGTCATGGAATGGAACTGTAAGCTGGACCGGGTGTGAGGAGGGGAGGTGATAAAAGGATTATAGGGTGGAGGAGCGGAGGCTGAGGAAGAATTGGGACCCAGCTCGGCCTGGCGAGGAGGGGAGATGTCAGATGGGTCTGTAGAAAAGGAAGATTAGAAAGACTCAGCGATGCTTGGGGTTGGGACTGACGGGACAGGCGGGAGGGAAAGAAGGAAGATTTGGGACGAGTTGCACTGGGCATAGAGACTAGGGAGGGACCGATGTGTAAAAGAATGCCTGGATGTCAGGCACCTCAGACCGTTTGCCCATTTTACAACAAGAATTATTTAGATCTTGTAGGATGGAAAAATTGAAAGTGCCGTTTTCTGGCTATTTGGAACCACTGTCAAGTTTGTATTGGGGTCAAGCAGCATTGCAGAAGAAAATAAGGCATTTAGGTTTTAGGTCAGGTGTGAGTTGAAGAGGTTTTAGGTTTTTAAGAACACAGGCTAAGGGAGAAGAAGGAGGAATGGAGGGTGGAAGGTTGCCCATACTGAAGGAGGCAAGCACAGAGAAAAGAGAGAGTAGAGACATGGAGGGAAGGGGTTCAGGGGTTCTTACCTTCCAGAAAAGCGGGAAAGGGGTCAGGGCACAGAAGTAAGGGATTGGGGTGCAGAGACAAGAGGTCGGGGTGTGGAAATAAGGGATCGGGGTGCAGAGATAAGACGTCAGGGCACAGAAATAAGGGATCGGGGGATTCTTGCCCCCTAGAAAAGCGGTACTTGCCACTAAGGGTGAAGGAGAAGGGGTTGGGGGGTTCTTGCCCCCCCAGAAAAGCAGAGAAGGGGTAGAGACACAGAGAAGGAGTTGGGGGTTCTTGCCCCCCCAGAAAAGCAGTACTTGCCACTAAGGGTGAAGGACCAAGGCAGGCATCCCCATGTGGTCAGACACCTCTGAAACGTGGGTGAATAATCAGAGAGGTGTCCCCGCGTGATTAAACACCAAGGGAAGGCTGCCTTCCCGAGTCCATGACCGGCGCTGGAGTTTTGGGTCCACGAATAAAGCGCGTCTCCTGTCTCTACCAGAAAAGGAAAGGAACTGAAATTAAGAGAAGGGAGAGATTGAAGAGTGGAAAGGAGAAAGTGGTTGAGGGATAGTGAGAGAGGTTGGAGAAGAGAGTAAAAAGAGGCTGCTTACTGGATTTAAAATTGGTGAGATGTTCCTTGGGCTGGTTGGTCTGAGGACGAGAGGTCGTAGGTGGATCTTTCTCATGGAGCAAAGAGCAGGAGGACAGGGGATTGATCTCCTAAGGAAGATCCCCTGATTCGAGTTATGGCACCAAATTTCACTCACGTCCGTGTGAAGAGACCACCAAACAGGATTTGTGTGAGCAACAAGGCTGTTTATTTCACCTGGGTGCAGGCGGGCTGAGTCCAGAAAGAGAGTCAGCAAAGGGAGATAGGAGTGCGGCCGTTTTATAGGATTTGGGTAGGTAAAGGAAAATTACAGTCAAAAGGGGGTTGTTCTCTGGCGGGCAGGAGTGGGGTTCACAAGGTGCTCAGTAGGGGAGCTTTTGAGCCGGGATGAGCCAGGAGAAGGAATTTCATAAGATAATGTCATCACTTAAGGCAAGAACAGGCCATTTTCATTTCTTTCGTGGTGGAATGTCATCAGTTAAGGCAGGAACCGGCCATCTGGATGTGTACATACAGGCCACAGGGGGATATGATGGCTTAGCTTGGGCTCAGAGGCCTGACAGTCTGGATCACCTGACCTGGTGATCCGCACACCTCGGCCTCCCAAAGTGCTGGGATTACAGGCATGACCCACTGCACCTGGCCTTAGAAAACTTCTTAAATATTAAAATGTATGTTATGTGTATTTTGCCACAATTTTTGAAAAGTACCTTCTGGTGTTTAGAGACAGAAGATGAGTGGTTGCCTAGGGCCGGGAGAGTGAGGGGATCGTGGTGATGGGCAGCTGGTCGGCATGGGGTTCTGAAGGGCAGTGATGACAACATTCTAAAATTAGACTGTGTTGACGGTTGCACCAACTCCGTGAATACCACAAAATTTAAACCATTGAATTATGCACTTTTAATGGGTAATTGTATGGCATGTAAATTATATCTCAATAAAGTTATATTTTTAAATACCAAAAAAAGGCCGGGTGCGGTGGCTCACGCCTGTAATCCCAGCACTTTGGGAGGCCGAGAAGGGCGGATCACGAGGTCAGGAGATGGAGACCATCCTGGCTAACATGGTGAAACCCCATCTCTACTTTGAAAAAAAAAAAAAAAGATTACCCGGACGTGGTGGTGGGCACCTGTAGTCCTAGCTACTCAGGAGGCTGAGGCAGGAGAATGGCATAAACTCGGGAGGCAGAGCTTGCAGTGAGTCGAGATTGCGCCACTCAGGAGGCTGAGGCAAGAGAATGGCATAAACCCCGGAGGCAGAGCTTGCAGAGAGCCGAGATTGCGCCACTGCACTCCAGCATGGGTGACAGAGCGAGAGTCCATCTCAAAAAAAAAAAAAAAAAAAAAAAAGATTAGTAATATCCTCTGTGTCACTTACCACTTAAGTGATTGAATCACGACTTGAAATTCATCATCTCAAACATGGCTTAGAGTCTGTAGAGGGGGGACAGTCCCAGGAATGCTGGTGTGGGCTTAAGGCTGAATTAAATAGATCCAGATGGCTCACACCTGTAATCCCAATACCTTGGGAGGCCGAGGCAGGTGGGAGGCTGAGGCAGGCGGATCACTGGAGCTCCTGGAGCGAAGAAAGGATGCTAGTGGAAAAACTGGTGAAATCAGAATAAAGTCTATAGTTTTATTTTTTAAAGGAGGCTGGGCGTGGTGGCTCATGCCTCTAATCCCAGCACTTTGGGAGGCTGAGGCAGGTGGATCAGTTGAGTTCAGGAGTTCAAAACCAGCCTGGCCAACTTGACGAAACCCCATCTCTACTAGAAATACAAAAATTAGCTGGGCGTGGTTGTGGGTGCCTCTAATCCCAGCTACTCAGGAAGCTGAGGCAAGAGAATTGCTTGAACCCAGGAGGCGGAGGTTGCAGTGAGCTGAGATCACACCATTGCACTCCAGCCTGGGCTACAGAGCAAGATTCCATCTCCAAATAAGAGAGACATGACAATTAAATAAATTGTGTAATCTTGGATTAAATCCTAAACCAAATATATGTCACTGGTAAAACAAGTGGTGAAATTTGAATAAAGTGGATAGATCAGACAATAGTGTCATATCAGTGCTATTTCTTGACCTTGAACATTAATAACAGAATGTCCTTGGTTTTGGGAAATATAACCTGAAGTGATTAGAGGTTTAGGGCATCATATGCAAATTAGACACACTTTCTTCGGGGAGAGAGGGAGAGGGAGAGAGGCTGAATGATGAAGCAAATGTGGTAAAATGCTAACTTTGGGGAAATCTGGATGAAGAAATTACAGATTTTTTTTTTTTTTATAGACAGGGTAACACTCTGTCACCCAGGCTAGAGTGCAGTGGCACGATCATGGCTCACTGCAGCTTCTACCTCCCTGGGCTCAGATGACCCTCTCACCTCAGCCTCCCAAGTAGCTGGGACTATAGGCGCACAGCACCACACCTGGCTAATTTTTGCATTTTTTTTTCCCCCAGGCTCGTCTCAAGCAATCCACCCACCTCGGCCTCCCAAAGTGCTGGGATTACAGGTGTGAGCCACTGCACCTGGCCAGAAATTCTTTAAACTATTTTTGCAAGTCTGGAATTATGTCAAAATTAAAAGCTCAAAATAATAAAAGACAATATTCTTATATTTCTTTGGTGAAGGTAACTATGTTATGGCTGAGAGGGTGGCTGAGGTCTGAGGATCCAGCCTACATAAGTCTCCTCCATAGAGGGCATCCAAGCGCTCCGTAGGGGGAAGGATAAAGAAAACACCCAGAGTTATGACAGCTGTGTAAGGGGAAACGCCAGCACCGAGTACTGAATCTTCAGTAAATAAGAAGGAGGCGGGCTGGGTGTGGTGGCTCACGCCTGTAATCCCAGCACTTTGGGAGGCTAAAGTGGGCTGATCACTTGAGGTCAAGAGTTCGAGACTAGCCTGGCCAACATGGGGAAACCCTGTCTCTACTAAAAATACAAAAATTAGTCGAGTGTGGTGGCACACGCCTGTAATCCCAGCTACTTGGGAGGCTAGAACAGGAGAATTGCTTGAACCCAGGAGGTGAAGGTTGCAGTGAGCTGAGATTGCACCACTGCACCCCAGCTTGAGGGACAGAGTGAGATTCCGTCTTAAAGAGAAAAAAAAAAGAATTAGCACATTTGTTTGCCTCAAGAAGATACAACTAGTCTTGTACAGTAGTCACATGTATCCACCAGGATATATTCCAAGGCCCCAGTGGATGCTGAAAACTACATAGTACCTTACATGTATATATATATGTATATACATATATACACATATACGTATATGTATACATACATGTATATATACATGTATGTATATACATATATGCATATATACATACATGTATATATACATGTATGTATATACATATATGTATATGTATGTATACACGCATACATGTATGTATACACGCATACATGTATGTATATACATATATGTATGTATACACGGATACATGTATGTATATACATATATGTATGTATACACGCATACATGTGTGTATACATATATATGCATGTATGCATGTGTGTATATATACATATATGTGTATATATACGCATATACATGTATGTGTATATATGCATGTGTATATATACATGTACGGTACTATGCAGTATATATACACATATATGTATATATGTATACATATATGTATAAATGTATATATGTGTATATATATAAAAGGTATATATGTATATATGTGTGTATATATAAAATGCATGAATTTCTTTTTTCTTACTGTAGATCTTAACAACTTCTGCATAGAATTTTTTTTTATTAAGTGGAGAGTTAGTTACTTACTTAAAAGAAATGTTTCTTGGCTGGGTGTGGTGGCTCACACCTGTAATCCCAGCACTTTGAGAGGCCGAGGCAGGAAGATTCACTTGAGGTGAGGAGTTGGAGACCATCCTGGCCAACGTGGTAAAAACCGGTCTCTACTAAAAGTACAAAAATGAGCTGGGCGTGGTGTTGGGTGTCTGTAGTCCCAGCTACTCAGGTGGCTGAGGCAGGAGAATTGCTTGAACCCACAAGGCAGAGGTTGCAGTGAGCTGAGATCACACCACTGCACCACAGCCTGGGCAACAGAGCAAGACTCTGTCTCAAAAAAAAAAAAAAAAAAGAAAGAAAAAGAAAAAGAAAAGAAATGTTTCTTTTCTTATTAAGTTCTTTAAATGAAAAGCTTTTCTTTTCACTTTTATTTTATTGAAACATTATAACACTATCTTTGAAGAAGATAGTGTTATCATTCCATTCTGATGAAACCAATTAACTTATCCAAGCATATGTATACTGTACACAGAGAAGCCAACGTCAAAACCCCTATTTTTATCTTTTTAGATTCAGCAGATACATGTGCAGGTTTTTTATGAGTATATTGCATGATGCTGAGGCTTGCATTAATGATCTAGTCACCAAATAGGTAGATTTTCAAGCCTTGCTCCCCTCCTTACCCAATGTTTAGCGCTCTCACTTATAAGTGAGAACATGTGGTATTTGGTTTTCTTTTCTTTTTTTTTTTTTTTTTTGAGATGGAGTTTCACTCTTGTTGCCCAGGCTGGAGTACAATGGCACCATCTCGGCTCACTGCAACCTTCACCTTCCAGGTTCAAGCAATTCTCCTGCCTCAGCCTCCCGAGTAGTTGGGACTACAGGCATGTGCCACCACACCCGGCTAATTTTGAATTTTTAGTAGAGACAGGGTTTCTGCATGTTGGTCAGGCTGGTCTCGAACTCCCGACCTAAGGTGATCCACCTGCCTCAGCCTCCCAAAGTGCTGGGATGACAGGCCTGAGCCACCGTGTCTGGCCAGTATTTGGTTTTCTGTTTCTGTGTTAACTCGCTTAGGATAATGGCCTCTAGCTGCATCCATGTTGCTGCAAAGGACATAATCTTGTGATTTTTCAAGGCTGTATAGCGTTCTGTGGTGTATACATATCACATTGTCTTTATCCAGTCCACCTCTGATGGGACCTGGGTGGATTCCATGTCTTCACTATTGTGAATCCTGCTGCAATGAACATACAAGTGCATGTGTCTTTTTGGTAGAATGATTTATTTTCCTTTGGCTATATACCCAGCGATGGGATTGCTGGGCTGAATGGTAACTCTGTTTGTAGTTCTCTGAAATATCTCCAAACCAAACTGCTTTCCACAGTGGCTGAACTAATTTACACCCACCAACAGTGTATAAGTGTCCCCTTTGCTCCACAATCTCACCAGCATCTGTTAATTTCTGGCTTTTCAGTAATGGCCATTCTGACTGGTGTGAGATGGTATTGTTGAGGGATAATTTAGGAATCAGAGAGACCGAGGGGTTGAGGAGGATTTATTATTATTATTATTATTTAGGTGCACCGGCCCCAGTCAGATTAACATCCAAAAAGACTGAGGCTCGAACAGAGAGTCCGGTTACCTTTTAAGCATTTTGTGGGGTTGGGGGAGATCTGTGCAGGGGGAAGCATATTACAGAAGCAAGAAACAAAGGCAGTTATTCAATTGAGACATGCATCACATTATTCCTTACTTTTCAAGAAAAATATGTTTTACGACTTGAGGTTATCCTGTCTAGTGACCTTGCAGCCGCACGGCAAGAGAAACAGGGTCTTCACAATGCCTGGGAAAGGGAGAGATAAGGCTCACTAGCCACAGACAGAAAAACAGGCAGTTCATGTTTAAAGGACTCCACCTCTTTCTCTTCCTCGGGGGGAACTGGGTTTTCTTAAATACAACTGAGTTTTTGTTTACACATTCTGTAATTTCTTTTAATTCCTGTTCCAGTATCTCACTGTGAAACTCCCTATGTTTTTATACGATTCTCAGGGGGTTTCCTCTGGGCATGATTGGGCACAACTTCCCACAGTCAGCTCTGGGTACGACCTCCACATTGCAGAATTGAGAAGTTGACCCAGAAATGCATTTTGGGCTGAGCAGACAATTGTCAGAGTTGCTGGCTAGACCACAGATGTGTCAGAGGGACCACGGCCTTTCTGTAAGCTCATGGTCAGAGGCGGAGGGGAGTTGTGAACGTTCTGATGAAAGCAGTCAACGTGAAAGCGCTCTGGTGATGGGCGCTGGTGCTCACCCACCACTTCCTGTGTATCTATCTCCCTGGCCCGCCCGGCTCAGTCCCCACTGCTCAGCACTAGGCCGGCAGAATCTGAGCGATGTCTTCCACACTCCCTGCCCTGCTCTGCGTCGGTGAGTTCTGGCGTGGAAGGGGAATGGGATCACGGTGTGCCTGGGAGGCAACAGGTCTCATTACTCCCGTCTTCCAGGGCTGTGTCTGAGTCAGAGGATCAGCGCCCAGCAGCGTGAGTCCTTCCTTCAAAGCCCAGGGTCACTCTTCCGGATTCAGGCCAAGCTCCTTCCACCCAAGCACGGCTGGGGTGAGGGGACAGGGTGCTGGCTTCCCAGGAGAGCTTGGGGCCAGCAGCTGGGTGGAGCCTAAGGTTGGGGGGAGGGGGCTCCGCTGGAACTCCAGCCTCTGATTCCCTTCCAGAGACTCTCCCAAAACCGTTCATCTGGGCCGAGCCCCATTTCATGGTTCCAAAGGAAAAGCAAGTGACCATCTGTTGCCAGGGAAATTATGGGGCTGTTGAATACCAGCTGCACTTTGAAGGAAGCCTTTTTGCCGTGGACAGACCAAAACCCCCTGAGCGGATTAACAAAGTCCAATTCTACATCCCGGACATGAACTCCCGCATGGCAGGGCAATACAGCTGCATCTATCGGGTTGGGGAGCTCTGGTCAGAGCCCAGCAACTTGCTGGATCTGGTGGTAACAGGTAACTGTCCGGTTCTCTAACTGGAGAGTGATCTCAGTCTGCATCCGGGATGCAGCATCATCTATGAACTCTTCCAAGCCCCACTCAGACACTGCTTGTCTCGGTAGGAGGCTGGAAGGAGGGGTGATCCCCATCACAATCCTTGCCTACAAGGGGTTGTCTGCAGACCGTGTCTCTACGTCCTAGGAGCAGATGTGTCCTCAGTCAGTTTCTCCATGACACAGATTCTGAGATAGATATTTGTATGCAGGGGTATGACTGAGGAATGTCCTCAAAAACAATGCCTGTGGGCCAGGCGCAGTGGCTTACACTTTGCTTCCCTCACCCATCACAGGTGGTGGGTTTTTTTTTTTTTTATCTGTTTTGAGACGGAGTTTCGCTCTTGTCACCCAGGCTGGAGTGCAGTGGTGCAATCTCCAGTCACTGCAACCTCCACCTCCTGGGTTCAAGTGATTCTCCAGCCTCAGCTTCCCAAGTAGCTGGGATCACAGGCACCCACCACTACGCCACATTTTGTATTTTTAGTAGAGATGGGGTTTCACCATGTTGGCCAGGGTGGTGTCGAACTCCTGACCTCAGATGATCCGCCCGCCTCACCCTCCCAAAGTGCTGGGATTACAGGTGTGAGCCATCACACCCAGCCAGGTGGTGGTTTTCTAAAAAAAAAAAAAAATTAGCTTTTTTTTTTTTTTAACAATATGGTTGTTTATTATTATTATCAAGTATTATACATAGTTACATATACATACATAATTGTATGTGCTATACAATTAGGTTTGTTTATACCAGCAACACCAAAAACACATGAGCAATACTTTGTGCTAGGAAGGCTATGATGTCATCAGGCAATAGGAATTTTTCAGTTTCATTATAATCTTATGGGACCACCATCATATATGTGGTACATTGTTGGCCAAAATGTCATTATGCAGCTCACAACAGTATTTCATGTCCATTCAAATATCTTCTTTTGTGAAATGTCTATTTAAATCTTTTGCCTATTTTTAAATTGGGTTGCTTATATTTTGATTGATTAGGAAAAGTTATTTCTATATTCTGTGTCATATACTTGTGTTGAAATATATATATTTTTTGTCTGTGCCTTTTCATTTGCTCAGGGTCTTTGGACCTTGTTTGGAGGTTCTGGCAGGGGAACACAGCTACTCATTTATTCTTTTTTTTTTAATTTTTTTAGTATTTATTGATCATTCTTGGGTGTTTCTCGGAGAGGGGGATTTGGCAGGGTCATAGGACAATAGTGGAGAGAAGGTCAGCAGATAAACATGTGAACAAAGGTCTCTGGCTTTCCTAGGCAGAGGTCCCTGCGGCCTTCCGCAGTGTTTGTGTCCCTGGGTACTTGAGATTAGGGAGTGGTGATGACTCTTAAGGAGCATGCTGCCTTCAAGCATCTGTTTAACAAAGCACATCTTGCACCGCCCTTAATCCATTTAACCCTGAGTGGACACAGCACATGTTTCAGAGAGCACGGGGTTGGGGGTAAGGTCATAGATTAACAGCATCCCAAAGCAGAAGAATTTGTCTTAGTACAGAACAAAATGGAGTCTCCTATGTCTACTTCTTTCTACACAGACACAGTAACAATCTGATCTCTCTTTCTTTTCCCCACATTTCCCCTTTTTCTATTCGACAAAACCGCCATCGTCATCATGGCCCGTTCTCAATGAGCTGTTGGGTACACCTCCCAGACGGGGTGGCGGCCGGGCAGAGGGGCTCCTCACTTCCCAGACGGGGCGGCCGGGCAGAGGCGCCCCCCCACCTCCCAGACGGGGCAGTGGCCGGGCGGGGGCTGCCCCCCAACCTCCCGGACGGGGCGGCTGGCCGGGGCTTTTTTTTTTTTTTTTGAGACAGTCTCGCTGCAGTGCAGTGGTACAATCTCAGCTCACTGCAACCTCTGCCTCAGCCTCAATTCTCCTGCCTCAGCCTCCCAAGTAGTTGAGATTACAGGCATGTGCCACCACACCCGGCTAATTTTTGCATTTTTAGTAGAGACGGGGTTTCACCATGTTGACCAGGCTGGTCTCAAACTCCTGACCCAGGAGGTCGAGGCTTCAGTAAGCAAAGATAGTGCCACGGCGCTCCAGCCTGGGAAACAGAGCAAGACCCTGTATCATTTTTAAAAATGGTTTTAGACGGTAAATCTTCTATTGTGTGTATTTGACCAAAATAATAATTAAAAAAAAAAAAAAAAGCTGGCTGCCAGGCATGGTGGCAGGCCCCTGTAGTCCCAGCTACTTGGGAGGGTGAGGCAGGAGAAACGCTTGAACCCGGGAGGCGGAGGTTGCAGTGAGCCAAGATCGTGTCACTGCACTCCAGCCTGGGCGACAGAGAGAGACTCCATCTCTAAAGAAAGAAAAAAAAAAATAGCTGGCTGCTCATCACTGAGTTTCTGGTGTGGTGGCCCCACCTTCTCTCATAGAAATGTATGACACACCCACCCTCTCGGTTCATCCTGGACCCGAAGTGATCTCGGGAGAGAAGGTGACCTTCTACTGCCGTCTAGACACTGCAACAAGCATGTTCTTACTGCTCAAGGAGGGAAGATCCAGCCACGTACAGCGCGGATACGGGAAGGTCCAGGCGGAGTTCCCCCTGGGCCCTGTGACCACAGCCCACAGAGGGACATACCGATGTTTTGGCTCCTATAACAACCATGCCTGGTCTTTCCCCAGTGAGCCAGTGAAGCTCCTGGTCACAGGTGAGGAAATGCTCAATTCCCCACACCCTTCGCCGCCATGTGCTACCTGGAGCCCTGAGGGATCCCCAGAGAGTGATGGGGAGGGTGTCCAAGGGACGTCCACTTCCTGGGTGCCTGGTTGGTCATGTGAGGAAGAACACCAGAAGCAGGAAGGAGGAGGGAACAGAGAAAGGAATGGTAAGGCGGGTGGATCACAAGGTCAGGAGTTCGAGACCAGCCTGGCCAAGACGGTGAAACCCCGTCTCTACTAAAAATACAGAAATTAGCCAGACGCAGTGGCGGACACCTGTAGTCCCAGCTACTCAGGAGGCTGAGGCAGGAGAATCGCTTGAACCCGGGAGGCGGGGGTTGTAGTGAACCGAGATCATACCACCGCACTGCAACCTGGGCGACAGAGCAAGACTCCATCTCAAAAAAAAAAAAAAAAAAAAAAGAATGGCAAGACCGGAGGAAACCAAAAACCCTTACTTTTTTTTCTTTATCTCCTTTTCCAGGCGACATTGAGAACACCAGCCTTGCACCTGAAGACCCCACCTTTCCTGGTGAGTAACTGGTCCTTCTAAGCTCAGACGAGCGATCAGAGCCTCCCAGTGACACTAAAAACGTGGCATTCATTCAAAATATTCATCGAGGCCAGGCGTGGTGGCTCACGCCTGTAATCCCAGCACTTTGGGAGGCCGAGATGGTGCATCATTTGAGGTCAGGAGTTTGAGACCAGCCTGGCCAACATGGCGAAACCCTGTCTCTACTAAAAATACAAAACTTAGGCTGGGCATCATGGCTCACACCTGTAATCCCAACACTTCGGGAGGCCAAGGTGGTTGGATCACAAGGTCAGGAATTCGAGACCAGCCTGACCAACATGGTGAAACCCCATCTCTACTAAAAATACAAAAATTAGCCGGGCCTGGTGGTGCTCGCCTGTAATCCCAGCTACTCAGGAGGCTGAGGCAGGAGAATTGTTGAACCTGGGATGCAGAGGTTGCAGTGAGCTGAGATCGCGCCACTGCATTCCACTCCACTGCACGACACAGCGAGACTCCATCTCACAGAAAAACAAAAACAAAACTATTATATATATATATTCATCAAGTGCATAGTATACACAGTGAACTACACTGTAACAGTCAGCCAGGCAGATATCTTGACTGTGCAGCACTTAGATTCTAGCAGGAGGAGACACACCATCGGTCAACGTCAGGATAGCACACAGGAGGGAATGATGCTATGGAAGGAAAAGACAAAGTAGAACAGACTTACAGTGATTGAAATGGCAGCTAGCAATATTAAATAGGTTTGTCCAGATGGACCTCACAGAGAAAGAAGGCATCTGAGCAAATGCGTTCAGACTTGAGTTAATCATGTGGCTGTCAGGAGAAAGGAGGCTCTGGAGAGAATGAAATGGCATCTGCCTGTGCCCTGGGGCAGGAAGATAACTGGGGTAATACAATAATAACTATGAGGCCAGGAGGGTTGAAAATGATGTTTGGAAGATGACGGTGGGATGGGCCTGGGGCGCACGGCTAGGATTACAGGAGTGAGGCCCGGCGCGGTGGCTCACGCCTGTAATCCCAGCACTTTGGGAAACCGAGGCAGGTGGATCATGAGGTCAGGAGATCAAGACCATCCTGGCTAACACGGTGAAACCCTGTCTCTACTAAAAAAAAATACAAAAATTATCCGGGCGTGGTGGCGGGCGCCTGTAGTCCCAGCTACGCAAGAGGCTGAGGCAGGAGAATGGCGTGAACCCGGGAGACGGAGCTTGCAGTGAGCTGAGATCGCGCCACTGCACTCCAGCCTGGGCGACAGAGTGAGACTCCGTCTCAAAAAAAAAGAAAAAGAAAAAGAAAAAGAAAAAAAAATAGTGAGACTTTGAATTTCACTATGTGTGAGGAGAAAGAGGTAATGATGACTTAATGAGGAAAATGAGGCTTAAATAGAAGACGGGCTGGGCCGGGTGGCTCCTGCATGTAATCCCAGCACTTTGGAAGGCAGGGGCGGCTGGATCACTTGAGGTCAGGAGTTCAAGACCAGCCTGGCCAACACAGTGAAACCCCATCTCTACTAAAAATACAAACATGAGTTGGGTGTGGTGGCGCACGCCAGTAATTACAGCTACTCGGGGCTGAAGCAAGAGGATTGCTTGAACTCGGGAGGCGGAGGTTGCAGTGAGCTGAGATCACACCACTGTACTCCAGCCTCAGAGGCCTGCCATCCCAGCCCTTTGGGAGGCCGAAGCAGGCAGGTCATCTGAGGTTGGGAGTTCAAGACCAGCCTGGCCAACATGGCAAAACCCCGTTTCTACTAAAAATATGAAAAAAATTACCTGGGTATGTGGTGTGTGCCTGTAGTCCCAGCTACTCCAGAGGCTGGAACACAGTGAGACTCTATCTCAAAAAAAAAAAAAATAGAAGACATGACTGGTGCAAAGACACATGCTCACAAGTGCTAGAATGGAATTC